>NC_000021.9:43468170-43622065 GCF_000001405.40 Homo sapiens | reverse complement strand
AACAAAGAAAAAACTAAAAATACCCCTATACTTTAACTCCATCCCCCATATTTTGACTTTTTGTTATCTCAATTTACGTGTTTATATTACCTGTCTTTTAATAGGTCGCTGTAGCTCTGATTGTTTCTGTTTCTAGGCTTCACACTAGAGTTTTGCATGGATTGCACATCATGAGTACAGTATTAGAGTATTCTGGGGTTGTCTGTGTACCAGTGTGTTTTATATTTATTTTATATATTATTTAAGTATTTCTTTTTCCAGTGGGTTTTATACCCTCAATTTTTTTCTTTCTGCATGTTAGTGTGTTTTTCTTTCAGTTTGAGGAACTTCCTTTAGCATTTCTTCTAAGATAGGTCTGGTTGGTGTTAAATTCTCTCAGTGTTTGTTTGGGAAAGACTTTATTAGTCCTTCATATTTGAAGGATGGCTTTGCTGGATACGATATTCTTATATAGTGTTTTCTTTCTTTCAGAACCTTGAAAATATCATCCCACTCCTTCCTGGCCTATATGGTTTCTTCTTCTTCTTTTTTTTTTTTCTGAGACAGAATCTTGCTCTCTTGCCCAGGCTGGAGTGCAGTGGCACAGTCTCGGCTCACTGCAGCCTTCCACTCCCAGGTTCAAGTGATTCTCTTGCCTTAGCCTCCTGAGTAGCTGAGACCACAGGCATGTGCCACCACGCCTGGCTAATTTCTGTTTTCTTAGTGGAGACAGGGTTTCACCATGTTGGCCAGACTGGTCTCAAACTCCTAACCTCAAGTGATCTGCCTGCCTTGGCCTCCCTAAGTGCTGGGATTACAGGCATGAGCTACTGTGCCCAGCCTGGCTTGTATAGTTTCTGTTGAGAAGTCTGTCACCAGATGAATTGGAGTTCCTTTGTTACTTGTTTCTTTTCTTTTGCTGTTTTTAAGTTTCTCTCTTTATTTCTGAATGTTGAGAGTTTGATTAGTATATACCTTGGGGTACACTCATTTAAGTTGACTCTGGTGTTCTGTGGTTTTCCTGTAGCTGGATATTTATATCTTAAGTTTTGGAAGTTTTCTGTTATTTCTTTGAATAAGCTTTCTACCCCTTATTGTTGCTCATCACCTTGTTGAACACCATAATTCTTAGATTGGGTCTTTTGAGGTAATTTTCTGTATCTTGTAGGTGATCTTCATTCCTTTGGTTTTTTCTTTTTCTCCTCTCTGTGTTTTTGATAGCTTGTCTCTGAGCTCAGTGATTCTCTGCTTGATCCATTCCGCTGTTGAGAGCCTCAAATTAATTTTTCAGTTCAGCAAATGTGTTTCTCAGTTCCAGGATTTCTGTTTGATGGTGATGATGATGGTGATGATGGTGATGATGATGATGATGATGATGATGTTGATTTTTTAGAGATGGGATCTTGCTCTGTTACCCAGGCTGGAGTCTGGTGGTACAATTCTAGCTCACTGCAACCTCGAACTCCTGGGCTCAAGCAGTGCTTCCACCTCAGCCTCCTGAGTAGGTAAGACTACAGGCGATCACCACAGTGCTTGGCTAATTTTTTATGTTTTTTGTAGAGATGGGGTCTTGCTGTGTTGCTGAGGCTGTTCTCAAACTCCTGGCCCCAAGGCCCCTATCTCAGCCTTCCACAGTGTTGGGATTACAGTCATGAGCCACTGTGCCCAGCAGTTTGATTGTTTTAAGTTTCAATCTCTTTATTAAATTTCTCTGACAAATTTCCGAATTACTTTTCTATGTTATCTTGGAGATGACTGAATTTCCTTAAAACTACTATTTTGAATTCTTGGTCAGAGAGCTCATATATTGCCATCTTGTTAGAGACAGTCACTGGTTCCTTGCTTTGTCTGTTTGGGGAGGCCGTGGTTCCCTGTTTCCTGTTGTTTCTTATGGATATATGTCTATGTCTTTGCATTGAAAGAGTATTTATTCCAGTCTTGTCTGTCTGGGTTATTTTGTTTTTTATTGGATATGTTTACTTAGAGATTCTTTGTAATTTACTTGTTGAATTTCTTCCTTTTTTTCTGCTAGGTTGCTGCCTCTTTATAGGCACTAGATGGTGCCTTAAGCCCAGGTTTACCTTGGCTCTAGGGAACCATCAGAGTATTGCCCATCCCGAATGGGGGAGGTCACAAAGAGGATAACCCGGCAGTGTGGGAATACTGGCAAGGCGTCTGTGCCCAGGGGACCTGTGGGACATACCTTCTACTGTGTGCATCTGCTGAACAGCCGCTCTGATTTGGTGTCTTCTCTGGCCAAGTTACAGAGCAGCGTTTCCAGGGCTGGGAATAGTAGTTCTGCTTCCCCACTTTGCCTCTGGCTATCCTCAGGGATAGTTTCCCTTCAGGTACTTACAGTGGTTCCCATGGGTTGAAGCAGGGACAGGTCTTCTGCCAGGGAACCTAAGATGGTGGGACAGTAGTTGTTCACCTCCATCTGCTTTTTCCAGTGTAGCAACTGAGTTGTGGAAATTTTCCTCACGCTTGGTGCTGGGCACATTATGGAGACGGGTGTCACAGGTATGAAAGTCCAGTTGTCTTACTGTCTGTTCAGAGTTTTTTCACTTGTCTGTTGCCGTGAGAGCTGTCTGAGCCTCATATTTAGAGTTCTGGGATATTGCTGCTGATAATCTTGGAGCTGCTGTATGTTCGTTTTTGGTTTTCTTTTGGGAGGCAGTGAAGCCAACTTGCTTCTATGCCACCATTTGGAACTAGAAACTCCTTGTTGCCCATATTTTAATTGGGTTATTTTCCTTTCTGTTACTGAGTTGTAAGAGGTATTTGTAATATACTAGTACCTTATCAGAGATATGATTTTGAAATACAGCCATACCTCAGAGATACCGTAGGTTTGGTTCCAGATTACTGCAGTAAAGCAAATAGCACAATAAAGTGAGTCACATGAATTTTTTGGTTTCCCAGCATATATAAAAGTTGTGTTTACAGTGTACTTTAGTCTGTTAAGTATGAAATTAGCTGGGTGTGGCGGTGCAGGCCTGTAGTCCCAGCTACTCAGGAGGTTGAGGGTGCAGTGAGCTGCGATTGTGCCACTGCACTCCAGCCCAGGTGACAGCGTAAGATTCAAAAAAATAAATAAAGAATTTTATAGCTTTAATTTTTTCTTTTTTTTTTTTCTTTTTTTGAGACGGAGTCTTGCTCTGTCGCTCAGGCTGGAGTGCAGCAGTGCGATCTCCACTCACTGCAAGCTCTGCCTCCCGGGTTCACGCCATTCTTTTGCCTCAGCATCCTGAGTAGCTGGGACTAAGGCACCTGCCACCGCGCCTGGCTAATTTTTTTTTTTTTTTTGTATTTTTAGTAGAGACGGGGTTTCACCATACTAGCCAGGATGGTCTTGATCTCCTGACCTCGTGATCTGCCCGCCTCAGCCTCCCAAAGTACTGGGATTACAGGCGTGAGCCACTGCGCCCGGCCAGCTTTAATTCTTATATTCAGATCTTTGATCCATTTTGAGTTAATATTTGTATATGGTGTGTGGTAGGTATTCAACTTCCTTCCTTTGCATGTGGATATCCAGTTGTTTTAGCACCATTTGTTCAAAAGATTATTCTTTTATCATTTCTCCATTGATTTGTCTTGGCACCTTTGTTGGAATTCAGTTGACCATAAATGTGAGGATTTATTTCTGTACTCTCAATTCTACCATTGATTTATATGTCTATCATTCTGCCAATACCCTATTATTACTTTTTTTGCTCAAAATAAGATGAAACTATTACAGTCTAAAGCAAAAGTATCAGACATAGTACGTCTCAACTCTGTATATCCTTTTCAGCACAAATAATTGACACCAGATTCTTTTTTTTTTTAAATGGGGTCTCACTTTAATTGCCCAGGCTGGAGTACAGTGGCCTGATCATAATTCGCTGTAGCCTCAAACTCCCGGGTTCAAGCAATCCTCCCACCTCAGCCTGGGTAGCTGGGACTATAGGCATGAGCCACCACACCTAGCTAATTTTTATTTTTATTTTTGTAGAGATGGGGTCTCATTATGTTGCCTAAGACTCATCTCAAACTTCTAGACTCAAGTGATCCTCCTACCTTGGCCTCCAAAAGTATTGGGATTATAGGTGTGAGCCACTATGCTTGGCCCAGATTTATTTCCTTTTTTGTTTGAGACTGAGTTTTGCTCTGTTGCCCAGGCTGGAGTGCAGTGGCACCATCTCAGCTCACTGCAGCCTCTGCCTCCCGGGTTCAAGTGATTCTTCTGCCTCAGCCTCTTGAGTAGATGGGATTACAGGTGCATGCCACCACACCTGGCTAATTTTTGTATTTTTAGTAGAGATGGGGTTTCTCCATGTTGGCCAGGCTGGTCTCAAACTCTTGACCTCAGGTGATCCACCCGCCTTGGCCTCTGAAAGTACTGGGATTACAGGTGGGAGCCACCGTACCTGGCCCCATTTCTTGAATTATGTAATTACTATACTAATCTCTAGAATTACCTATAAGCACTTTTAATGAAAAATGAACCTAGAAAAATCATTTTAACAGAAAAATTAACTGGCAGTTTTTTAGTTTTGGTAGATGGTAACAAAGTCAATTCTGTAGGCCTTGAATTGACTCACAGGCATTCTAGATAGATTAAATATCAGTAAGCAAAGTACAAATTACCATGTAAAACAAAGAAATTCCAACAGATTGACAAATACTGAAGCTGTGTAGGAATTTATTCACATTTATTTTACTTTGTAGTTCATGTTTTAGTGATATTTAATGAAATGCAGCATTGGCATTTGCAGTTAAAATACTAGATATATGATACAGACTTCATTTACCAGTACATTTGTTGTGTTGGGCATTGTTGCTTGCTATGAGATACATATATATATATTTTTTTTCTTCAGCGATGTATTAGTAATGTTTCTATTTTCTATTGCTGTGTAACAAACCTCCTCAAAATATAAAGTCTTAACATTTATCTTGCTCGTGGGTCTACAGTTTGGTCAGGCTTGGCAGGGACAGTTTGCTGCTTCTGCTCTCCAACATCTGGGGCCTTAGCTGGGATGACTCAAATCGTTGAGGGATGGAACAGCTGGGGGCTAGTGGGGTGTCTTTCTCTCTCTTCTTTCCTCATAGAGTCTCAAGGCTTCTTCACTGTGCTATTTCTTATCCTTTTTTTCCTTTTTTCTTTTTTTTTTGAGATGGAGTCTTGCTCTATCACCCAGGCTGGAGTGCAATGGTGTGATCTCAGCTCACTGCAAACTCTGCCTCCCAGGTTCACACCATTCTCCTGCCTCAGCATCTGGAGTAGCTGGGACTACAGGCACCTGCCACCGCGCCCGGCTAATTTTTTGTATTTTTAGTAGAGACGGTTTCATCATGTTAGCCAGGATGATCTTGATCTCCAGACCGCGTGATCCGCCCACCTCGGCCTCCCAAAGTGCTGGGATTACAGGCGTGAGCCACCGTGTTTTTTCTTTTTTTTAAAGACAGAGTTTCGCTCTGTCTCCTAGGCTGGAGTGCAGTAGTGCAATCTCGGCTTACTGCAGCATCCACCTCCTGGGTTCAAATGATTCTCCTGCCTTAGCCTCCCAAGTAACTAGGATTACGGGTGTAAGCCACGACGCCTGGCTAATTTCGTATTTTTAGTAGAGACAGGGTTTTGCCATGTTGGCCAGGCTCATCTCAAACTCCTGACCTCAGGTGATTCACCCACCTTGGCCTTCCAAAGTGCTGGGATTACTGGCGTGAGCCACCACATCTGGCCTTCACTGTGCTATTTCTGTGTGGTCTCTTCATCATGGCAGCCTTAGGGTAGCTGGACTCTTTCATAGTGACTCAGGGATCCTAGAGCAAGTGGCAGGAGACCAAAGTGGAAATCTTAAGGCTTCTTCCTGTCCATCCTTGGAAGGCTCATGGTGTGCATTCTGCTGCGTTCTACTTGTTACAAGTGAGTCGCAGTGTAGGTGACTACTCAAGGGTCTGAACATGAGGCCAGGCCCACCTGGTAGCCATCTCTGGAGTCAGGCTACCAAATAGTTCTATGTTGCTTGCTATGATATATATATATATATATTTTTTTTTTTTCTTCAGCGATGTATTAGTAATGTTTCTATTTTCTATTGCTGTGTAACAAACCTCCTCAAAATATAAAGTCTTAACATTTATCTTGATCATGGGTCTACAGTTTGGTCAGGTTTGGCAGGGACAGTTTGCTGTTGCTGCTCTCCAACATCTGGGTTTCTGCTGGGTTTCAGTATATTATCTGAAGTTATTTACATGAATAATGCTTTCCCCTGAAAAGCTACCTAAAAGCTATCTTTTATGTGTTTCTGATGCCAAATGCTTACTTGCTTTGTTTTTCTCCTAAAATATTTCCTTAGTAAAACTAGAATGTGTCATATTCTGGAAAATGTACCTATCAGGTTAAAATTCATTGACCAAAGAAGGTAAGTTTATGTCATTGAAAGGTTCTGTCAATAAAGTTATGGCTGTCATCAAAGCGTGTACTTGAAGACACTGCACCAATGATATAGTTAAAATGCTGCAAAGACAAGTAGAAAGGGGGAAACATCTGTTAGGTTTAGTAGACTTTACTATCCCTCTTGTGGTCCATCTGAGACCAGGTGAACAAAAGTAAATAGTAATGTCAAAGATCTGAGTTCATGAAGCTGGCCGGGTAACATGAAATTTTATATTCTGCCATCAGATTACATCCAGTCAAAGGCAGAAGAAATAAGTGATAAAATTCAGCTTCCATTTTTGATAATTCTTAGCAAGCCAAAAATAGAAGAAGACTTCTTTAAACTGATAAAGGGTATCTACCAGAAACAGATCAGACATCACACTTAACTGTGAATTTTTAGAAGCGTTTCCATTAAAATCAGGAGCAAGGCAGTGCTGCTGCCCCATCTCTTTTCCACCTTGGTCTCGTCATTTGGCTTAGAAATCTTAGTCAGTTTGAATCATGCTTTACTGTCAGACCCAACTAAAGAAAACTCTTAACAAACACATACATAAATGCACTTGGATCATTGGATACTTCGAGGTATTTGGAAATGTTGATGGAGCCAGTAATGGCTGCAGCACTGCCCATTGGGAGCAGTGTAATTACTCGGTCTGGTCTTCAGGCCGATTCGCAGGGCCTCAGGCATGAAGAAATGGGATACTTGCTGTTCCACAATGGGACATAAAATTGAGAAAATAAGTTTTCTTCAAAATCCATTTTCATACTCTTTTTTGACTACATATAATTTCAGTTTGTATCATGGCTAAAAGTTATTAGCAAATATAGATTGAATATTCCTTATCTGAAATGCCCGGGACCAGAAGTGTTTTGGATTTTGGAATACTTGCATTATACCTACTGGTTCAACACTCTAATTCAAAAATCTGAAATCTGCAATGCTCTGTGAGCATGACCTTTGTGCATCTTTGTCAGTGCTCAAAAATTTTTAGATTTTGGAGCATTTTGGATTTTGGGTTTTCAGATTACGGATGCCATTAAAAGTGAATTTTCACATCCTCAGTCCCAGATAAGATAATCAGCCCCCACCTTATGTTTGGACCCTGACTGCCCACAGCTGTTTAATGCAGCACTCTGGAGCATAGTGACCGCAGACTTGGTTAGATTCCAGGGCTCTGTTTCACTCTTTCGGCGCTTGCTAATCACACTGCACATTACTTGATATTTCAGTAACTCTTGTGGTTGTCAGTGATTCTTTCTGAGCTGTCATTTTTGTTGATAATTTTTTTTTTTTTTTTTTGAGACAGGGCTTTGCTCTGTCACCCAGGCTGGAGTGCAGTGTCATGATCATGGCTCACTGCAGCCTCTACCTCCTAGGCTCAAGCAATCCTTCTGCCTCTACCTCCTGAATAGCTAGGACTACAGGTGCACACACCGTGCCCGGCTAATTTTTAAATTTTTTGTAGAGATAGGGTCTTGCTGTGTTGCCCAGGCTGGTCTTGAACTTGTGGCCTCAAGCAGTCCTCCCACCTCAGTCTCTCAAAATGTTGGGATTACAGGTGTGAACAACCATGCCTAGCAATTTCATTTATAAATGCCTCATTTTCAGCTGTGTTTTCATTAGGTCTTTTAGGAGAAAATACTCTGTTCTGCACAAAATTGTCTAGGTTCTGAGTCATAATGATCTTGATGTTTTGTTTCATTTTCTGTTGCAGATGTTGCTGCTATAGCATGTGGTCGTGAATTCTTGGTTAATTCAAGCCGGGTGCTCTTGGACACCATATTGCAGCTTCTGGGAGACTTGAAGCCAGGACAGTGTACCAAACTCAAAGTGTATGGTGGATAATGTTAAAAAGTTAATTCTATTTACATATTAATTAGACTGTGCTGATTGGGCCTCTCTTCAAGTAAACACAGTTAATTTTGGTGGTAGTTTTAAAAACTAGAAGAAATAAATTCCTGGAGAAGTTAAGGGCGTGCACTGTCTCTTAAATAGCATTTTAGAAAATAAATTTAAGGAAGGAATGTTCTCACCTTAGAGCAATCAGTGAGTCCCAGTATTATCACATGGTACTTCATGGGTATGTCAAAATGAATTTAAATAGGTATCTGTCTTCCAGCTACTAAAATCTGTATTTGTTTTCTATTTTTATGTAACAAATTATCACCAACTTGGTGGCTAAAACAACACCATTTATTATTTCATAGTTTGGCAAGTCAGAAGTCTGAGTGGGTTTGAGAGGTTCTCTGCATAGGTCAAAAGTGAGGTGTTTTCCAGGGTGGGATCTTTTCAGAGAATCTAGGGGAGGAATCTGCTTCTGGGCACTTTGAAGTGGCTGGTAGAGTCCAGTGTCTTGGTTTCTAGGAGCGAGTTCCCTGTTTCCCAGCTGGCTGGTCAGCTGTGGGTCAGCTGCTGAGGCAGCTTGCATTGCTTCTCACAGGGACCCCATCTTCAAGCCACAGTCGCTCATTGAATCCTTCCCACGTTTCCAGTCTCTGAGACTTCCTCTTCTGCTACCAGCAAGATGAAACTCTCTCTGCTTTTATTCTTTTGTTAAAAAGTTTACTTCAAGAAGGCAAAAACTCTGCTTCTTATAGATTTGTGTGTTTAGATGAGGCATACCTGGATAAACTCCTTTTGATTAACTCTTGAGTCAGCTGGTTAGTAACCTTAATTACATCTACAGAATCCTCTTTTCCAGGCAATGACATAATCAGCGTGTGATAATTTATAGTCCCAGAGATTAGGGCAGGAAATCTTGGGGAGAGGGGCAGTGTAGGATTCTGCCACTCACACTGTTCGTTCTGAGTGTTGCCTTTGACTTCTTAGAGCATCTTTATTTTTTAATTATTTTTTTAAAGAGACCGAGTCTCTACAGACCTTGCCTAGGCTGGCCTCAAACTCCTAGGCGTTCAAATAATCCTTCCACCTCAGCCTCCTGAGTAGCTGGGACTACAGGCATGTGCCACCATCCCCTGCTGTGGAGCACTTTTTTTTTTTTTTTTTTTTTTGAGACGGAGTCTTGCTCTGTCACCCGGGCTGGAGTGCAGTGGCGTGATCTCGGCTCACTGCAAGCTCCGCCTCCCGGGTTCACACCATTCTCCTGCCTCAGCCTTCCAAGTAGCTGGGACTACAGGCGCCCGCCACCACGCCCAGCTAATTTTTTGTATTTTTAGTAGAGACGGGGTTTCACCGTGTTAGCCAGGATGGTCTCAATCTCCTGACCTCGTGATCCACCCGCCTTGGCCTCCCAAAGTGCTGGGATTACAGGCGTGAGCCCCTGCGCCCGGCCTAGCACTTTTAAAAAGTAAGAGCTTCTGTAAAGTCTGTGCCAGGTGCTTCCAACACCTGTGTCATCCTGGCCTCGGTGTCTCTTGATTGTTTTTTCCCATGAGAGTTGAGATTTTCCTGTTTCTTCATATGCCAAGTAATTTTGGATTTATCCTGGACATTTACGTGATCACTGGTCTTGTTTAAATCCTTGGGAAATGCTGGTGTTTATATTTTCACAGGCAGTCAACCCCTTTGGGTCAGATTCCAGCCAGCCTTTTCTCTGTTTGGTTTCAGTGTGTCGTCCTGTTTTCAGAGTCTTTACAGTGCTATTGGAACTGCCCCTCGTGAGTGCCGCCCAGTGGCCAGTCTGAGACCTGGGTGGTCTGGATCTTAGGTTCAGAGTCTTTCAGATACTGTTTATGATCAGATCCACACAGGCACAACTTGGGATGAGGCCAGGAATTTATAAACAACTTTTTGGGGTCACTTTTCTGAGCTGTTAACTCTCTGGGTACACTTTAGTTACCTGGGACTGCCTTTTTCAGTCCCCCACCTGGAATGCTGGGGCTTCATATACCCTGCTGTGTCCAAGTGCCTGCAACTCTGCCCTCATCCCGCCCTGCGGCAGGAGTTGAGAAGCTCTTAGAGCTTTCAGGTGTAAGGAAAAAATTCCTTTCCCCCAGAGTTTGAGTTACCTGGGGGATGTCCCCACTGCTACCGTGCTTGGTTGCTGGCAGGAGACCCCTTTCCCACTCCTTGAGCCTCACTAGAGACCTTCTCCTGGTGCTCTCTGTGTGGCTCAGGGCTACTTTTGGGTTTTGGAGCTCCCTCGAGTCCAGGCCAGGGACACTAAAGGAAAAAGTGGTAAACTCTCTGCTGGTTTAGTGGTTCTTAAAATTTTGATCTTCTTCCCCTATCTGCCTGCTACTGTTTACTTTTCAGAGTCCTCAAATAGCTGCTTCATGTATTCTCTTTGGAATTTATAGCTGCATTCAGTGGAAGCGAGACTGGAGGGTGTGTTCAGGCCATCTTATCCAGAACCAAGCTTTCTAGTCCATTTTAATATTTTGTGCTAACAAATATCTATACATACATAATACATATAATACAGTGTAACATATATGCAAAAAAAATTTTTTTTTTGAGACAGAGTCTTGCTTTGTAACCCAGGCTGGAGCACAGTGGTATGAACATGGCTCACTGCAGCCTCGACCTCTTAGGCTTAAGTTATCCTCCCAGCTCAGCCTTCTGAGCAGCTGGGACCGTCAGTGCATGCCACCATGCCTGGCTAATTGTTAAATTTTAAAAATTTTTTTGTAGAGACGGGGTCTCTCCATGTTGCCCAGGCTGGCATAGATGGTTTTGTTTGGGGGTATAATTTTACAAATTGCTTGTGGATCTAGTTCATTCCTTTTAAGTACCTTGCATCAAAGGAGATGTAATATTTGGATTATCCTTCCCTGACTGATGGGCATTTAAGTTACTTTCGGGTTTTACTTGACAAATATAATGCCGTAGTGAGCATCCTTGATAAACTCTTTGCTAACCTGTCTGAGAGTTCTCCAGGAGTTTTCCCAGAGGAAATATTTGAGAAGTAGTACATGGACATTTTCAATTTGATAAGATACTGCCAAATTGGTCACCATAGTGTACATTTCTACCTGCACCATGTCAGTGTTCGTGTTTCCCACGTCCTTGTCAGCACTTTGCTATTTATTATATTCCTCTAAAGAGAAAAAATATATGTGTATATGGAGAGAGAGGTGCCGGGGGAAGAGGGGGAGAGACAGGGTCTTGCTGTGTTACCCAGGCTGGAGTGCAGTGGTGCAATCACGGCTCACTGCAGCCGCGACCTCTGGGGCTCAAGTGATCCTCCCATCCCAGCCTCCCAAGTAACTGGGGTCCCAGCTACTCTGCACGCCACCATGCGCAGCTAATTTTTTTTTTTTTTTTGGTATTTTTTGTAGAGACAGGGTCTCACCTTGTTGCCCAGGCTTGTCTCAAACTCCTAAGCTCAAGTGATCCACCTGCCTCAGCCTCCCAGAATGTTGGGATTACAGCGTGAGCCACTGGACCTGGCCTTAAAGAGTATTTTTATCATCCACCTATCATCTGTCTGTCTTTGTCCTTCTCTCCCTTCCTTCAGATTTAGATTGCCAGTGAGGTTGAGGCTCTTCACATGTTTGTACCATTCCAGTTTTTCCTTTGAGTCACCTGTCTGTGTCTTGTGCCCACTTTCCTGTTGGGCTGCATTTTTCTTAGTGATCTGCTGTAGGTCTTTGTGTGTTCTGGATACTAATCCATTGCCTCTTTTGCTTCTGTGGTCTGTACAAGGTCCATATTTATGGGCCAGCTAAAGTCCCCCTTCAACTTCCAAGGCAAAGCTGTGTGTGAGGGCTGGGTCACTTCTAGCCTCTCCGGTTCCAGTCCCTGGAGCTCTGTGCCTTTGGGTCCTGGTGAGCTCTTGTTGATTGCAGTGGGAGATGGGGAGAATTGCCTTCAGAGCCATTCACTGACTTTCTTGGCAGTCTTCCATTTGGCCACTGAGCAAAGCCGCGTGTTTACCCTCTATCCTGACTCGGGATCTCAGCATGCACCAGCCTGAGAGGGGCCTTCCCCCTGGGATCTTTGGCTGCCTTCCAACATGCTCATGGCTTGTTCCGTCTCACCACATCTCCAAGGCACTCTTCTCCCCTCTTTTCACCTCCCCCACTTCACTAACGCCCACCCTTGAGTCCTCTGGAGCCCCAAGACCTTTCTCATACTATAAATCAGCCTCTTTTCTTCCTGGCCTCCCCCTGCCTTGTGTATAGCTTGCCTCTCTCTGGGGAACTACACTTTCACTGCCACTTTCATGATCGAAGGTCACTCATTTTCAGCAGTTAGTACCTTAGACCCAGAGATAGGGGTTATTTTTTTCCTAGTTGCCCATTTTTTAAAAAAATTTAAATTTAAATTTTAGATTCAGGGGGTACATGTGCAGGTTTGTTACAAGAGTATATTGCGTGATGCCAAGGTTTGGGCTTCTGTTGAATCTGTCACTCAGATAGTAGATATAGTACCCAATAGGAGATTTTTCAGTCCTTGTTCCTCTCCCTCCCTCTCTCCTTTTGGAGTCTCCAGTGTCTCTTGTTCCCATCTTTATGTCCGCGTATACCAAGGGTTTAGCTCCCACTTATAAATGAGAACATGCAATATTTGGTTTTCTACTTCTGGATTAATTCACTTAAGATAAGTGGAGGCAGCCTCCAGCTGCATCCATGTTGCTGCAAAGGACATGGTGGTGGTCTTTCTTTCTGGCTGCGAAGTATTCCATGGCTTGTATGTACCACATTTTCTTTATCCAATCCACTGTTGATGGACACCTGGGTTGATTCTATGTCTTTGCTATTTTTGTTTTGTTTAGTTTTGTTTTTGAGACAGGGTCTGGCTGTTCCATTCACACTGGCATGCAGTGGTGCTATCTTATCTCACTGCAGTCTGAAAATCCTGGGCTCAAGCAATCCTTCTGCCTCGGCCTCCCAAGTACTTGGGATTACAGGCATGTGACATCATGCCTGGCTAATTAAAAAAAATTTTTTTTTTTTTGGTAGCGATAGGGGTCTCACTTTCTTGCCCAGGATAGTCTTGAACTCCTGAACTCAAGTGATCCTTTCACCTCAGCCTCCCAAAGTGCTGGGATTTCAGGCATGAGCCACCACTTATCTTTGCTATTGTGAGCAGTGCTGTGATAAACTTATAAGGGCAGGTGTCTTTTTGGTAGAACAATTTTATTTTCCTTTGGCTATTTACCAAGTAATGGGATTGCTGGGTTGAATGCTAGGTCTGTTTTTAGTTCTTTGAGAAATCTCCAGACTGCTTTCCATAGGTGCTGAATTAATTTACATTCCCACCAACAGTGTATACGAGTTCCCTTTTTTCAGTGGTTTTGCCAACATGATGTTTTTTGACTTTCTAGTAATAGCCATTTTGACTGGTGTGAGATAGTACCTCATTGTGGTTTTGATTTGCGTTTCCCTGATGACTAGTGATGTTGGGCATTTTTTCATGTTTCGTTGGCTGCTTATATGTTTTCTTTTAAGAAGTGTCTGTTCTTGCCCTTTGCCTGCTTTTTAATGAGGTTGTGTGTTTTTTCTTGTTGATTTGTTTAACTTAACTTCCCTATAGATTCTGGATATTAGACTTTTGTTGGATCCATAGTTTGCGAATATTTTCTCCCATTCTGTAGGTTGTCTGTTTACTCTGTTGATAGTTTTTTTTGCTGTGGAGAAGCTCTTTATTTTAATTATGTCCCAATTGTCAATTTTCGGTTTTGTTGCAATTGCTTTTGAGGACTCAGTCAAATTCTTTGCCTAGGCCGATATCCAGAAGACTATTTCCTAGATTTTGTTCTAGGACTTTTATAGTTTGAGGTCTTACATTTAAGTCCTTAATCCATCTTGAGTTAATTTTTATCTGTGGTTAGAGGTAGTGGTCCAGTTTCATTCGTTTACATATGGTTAGCTATTTTTCCCAGCACCATTTATTGAACAGGGAGTCCTTTCCTCATTGCTTATTTTTGTCAATGTTGTCAAAGGTCAATTGGCTGTATGTGTGCAGCTTTAATTTCTGGGTTCTGTATTCTGTTCCATTGGTCTATGTGTTTATTTTTGTACCAGTGTTATGCTGTTTTAGTTAGTGTAGCCTGGTAGTATAGTTTGAAGGTGGGCAGTGTGATGGCTCTAGCTTTGTTCTTTTTTCTTAGCGTTGCTTTGGCTATTTGGGCTCTTTTTTGGTTCTATAAGAATTTTAGAAGAGTTTGTTCTAATTCTATGAAAAATGATGTTGGTAATTTAATAGCAATAGCATTGAATCTGTAGATTGCTTTGGGCAGTTTGGACATTTTCATGATATTGATTCTTCCAGTCCATGAACATGAATGTTTTTCCAGTTGTGTCATCTATGATACTTCTTTCAGCAGTGTTCTGTAGTTCTTCTTGAAGAGATCTTTCACTCCCTTGGTTAGATGTATTCCTAGGTTTTTGTGTGTGTGTGTGGCTGTTGTAAATAGGATTGTGTTGTTGATTTGGCTCTCAGCTTGAACCTTTTTTTTTTTTTTTGAGACAGGGTCTCACCCTTTTACCCAGGCTGGAGTGCAGTGGCATAATCACGGCTCACTGCAGCCTCGACCTGCTGATCTCAAGCGATTCTCCTGCCTGAGCATCCTGAGTAGCTGGGACTACAGGTGTGTGCCACCACACCTGACTAATTTCTGTAGTTTTTTGTAGAGACAGGGTTTCGCCATGTTGCACAAGCTGGTCTTGAACTCCTGAGCTCAAGTGATCCGCCTTCCTTGGCTCTTCCCAAAGTGCTGGGACTACAGGCTTGAGCCACCACACCTGGCCTCCAGTTCTGTGTTGAATAGGTGCGGTAAGAGTGGATATCTCTATGTCTTATTCCAGTTCTTAGGGGAAGTGTTTCTTCTAGCTGCCCATTTTTATTTTTAATGAAATGTCCCAGAATGCTCATTTTTAAAAGGCTGTTTCTCTTCCAATCTCATGCGAATTTTTTTCCTCCTTGAAAATTCAAGCAACCAGTTGCTCTCTTCACATCCAGCCTTTCTCATCACTGTACTTTTCTGACCATCCAGGCATTTCCCTTGTTCACTGAGTACTGGCTTGTTGGTGTCCCCCTCCCCATTTCCTGCTATCTTGAATGACTTGAACATGTTTAGGGGTGATTCATTCAACAATCTAATTTCAAGGCCACCTGCCTTTCTCAGCTCCCAAGATTTGCTGTGCCCTTCACTGTGGCAGTAGTCTGCCTTGGGCCAGACCCTGCACATTGTCATCAGGTGGACTGTCTGGTAAACATTGCTGTAGCACTCAGGCCATACCTCCTCTCCTCCCTGCCTCCTTTTCCTACCATTGTTCCCTCTAAACTGCAAGACCTCCTGCTCCTCCTCCCTCCTCTTTCCTCCTGCTCACACCATTGCCTCCATGGCCTCCCCTCCCTCCAGCTCACCCAGCCCCAGTGTGCATCACATTTCCTGATGCTTTCAACCTTGGATCAGCCCAGCCATCCTTCTTCTCTGTTCCTACAGCTGGGGCTGTTGAGTGAGGTTTGGGAAGAAGCTTTCTTGTGTGCACGGACTCTCGTCATTTCTCCCGGTTTCCAGCACCCTGGAATCCTCTTCTATGTCCTTTCTCAGCTCCCACTCATTTCCACACTGGTGGAGGCAGACCTCGGGTGTGATCCTCACGGCCTCCCTGCTCTGCTCTTCCTTGGTAGGTGGGTGTCCCGGCAGGCGGCTTTACTTCCTGCTCTGCTCTTCCTTGGTAGGTGGGTGTCCCGGCAGGCGGCTTTACTTCCTGCTGCACAGAGTCAAGGGTGTGAGTGTGGCCGCCTCAGCTTGGCCCTCCCTTGTTTATTCCACTCCCCTTTGCTTTTTCTTCTCACGTGTCAGAGGCACGTATGGCCTGGATGTGTGTGTGTGGTGTGGGTGTGTATATGTGGCGGGGCGTGGGGAAATGAGGATGTATTTGGGTGTGGTGTATGTGTATGTGGGTATTTTTTGGGGTGTATGGTGTGTATGCGTTTGTGTGGGGCATGTTTATGGTGTGAGTGTGAGGGAATGTGTGTGGTGTGTGTGTATATATGTTGGGGGGAGGTGGGTGTCATGTGATGTGTGTGACTGTGGTGTGTTTGTATATGTGGGACTATGAGGGATTGGGATGTGTGTATTTTGTGTGTGGGTGGAGATGTGGGTGTGGTATGCATGGTGTGTGTGGCTATGTGAGGGGGATGTGTGTGTGTGGTATGTGTATGTTGGGGGATGTTTGTGGTGTGTATGTACATGTGGAGGGTATGGGGTATGTGTGTTTGTGGGAGGTGCGTGGGGGGATATGTGTGGGTGTGTGTGTGGGTGTGGCGTGTGGGGGTGTGTGGGCTGCATATGTGGGGGTGTGTGTATGTGTGTGTGTTGGAGTGTGTGTGTGGTGTGGGGAATGTGTGGTGTGTGTGTGGTGTGTGTGTCGGGGGGTGGGTGATGTGTGTTTGTGGGCTCTTTCAGCCAAGGCTGGGGCAGTTAGTGCAGTCAGCTGGTGTGTTGTGTGTGGGGTGTGATGTGTGTGTGATCTGTGGTGTGTGATGTGGGTGCGTGGTGTGTGGTGTGTGTCTGGTATGTGTGTGGTGTGGGTGTGTGGGCTCTGTCAGCCAAGGCTGGGGCAATTAGTGCAGTCAGCTGGTGTGTGTGTGGTGTGTCTGATGTGTGTGTGGTATCTGTGTGGTGTGTGTGTGATGTGTGTGATGTATGTGTGTTGTGTTATGTGGTACGTGTGATGTGTGTGGTGTCTGGTGTGTGTGTGGTGGGTATGTGGTGTGTGTGATGTGTGTGTGGTGTCTGATGTGTGTGGTGTGATGTGTGATGTGTGTGTGGTGTGTAGTGTGTGTGTGGTGTATGGTGTGTGATGTCTGTGGTATGTGATGTGTCTTTGTGGTGTGTGTGTGATGTGTGTGGTGTGTAGTGTATGGTGTGTATGTGGTGTGTGGGTGTGGTGTGTGTGATGTGTGGTGTGTGTGGTGTGCGATGTGGGTGGTGTGTGTGGCGTGTAGTGTGGCATGTGTGTGGTGTGGCATGCGAGTGGTGTGCGTATGGTGTGTGAGTGGTGTGTGTGTGGTGTATGTGGTGTCTGAGATGCGTGTGAGTGCAGTGTGTAGTGTGTGTGTGGTGTGTGGTGGTGTGTGTGTGTGGTGTGTGTGTGGTGTGTGTGCTGTATGATTGTGTGGTGTATGATGTGGTATGTGTGATGTGTGTATGGTGGTGTGTGTATATTGGTGTGTGTGCAATGTGTGTGGGGTGTGTATGGTGTGTGTGGTGTGTGTGTGGGGTGTGTATAGTGTGTGTAGTGTGTGGTGTGTGTGTGTATGGTGTGCGTGCTGTGTGTTGTGTGTGTGGTGTGTGCGTGGTGTGTGTGTGGTGTGGTGTGTGGGGTGTGTATGGTGTGTGTGTAGTGTGTGTGGTGTGTGTGTGGTGTGCGTGCTGTGTGGTGTGTGTGTGGTGTGTGCGTGATGTGTGTGTGTGTGGTGTGTTTGTGGTTTGTGCATGGTGTGTGTGGTGTGTGTGATGTGTGTGAGTGGTGTGTGGTATGTGTGATGTGTGTGAGTGGTGAGTGGTGTGTGGTGTGTGCTGTGTGCTGTGGTGTGTGTGTGTAATCCTCCTGCCTCTGTGTTGAGCCTTCCTCTGGGATGTGCCCTGTTGCCTGTCATTTCTTGCTCCAGTATTTCCAGCGCTCCTGCTCCACTGGCTCCTGTTTAGCCTTTTGTCTTCCCAGGCCACGGCTGCCCTTTCAAACCACTAGCCAGCCTGCGTTTACCATGACATGTTGCATTTTCCCAGAATGCAGAGCTGGCTCATGGTGTGTTCTTTTTGCCTCCCCCAGAAATCCCTGTGGGCCCTGCAGGTCAGTGGTGGATCAGACTGGATTCTGCTATTGGGCCACATGTCCATGTCTTTTGTGGCAAACATTCATAGGGTTGTACATGGGACATTGTTGTGACTCAGCCTCTGTGAGTTTTTTCAGTGGCATAGCCTCCCCAGCCATATGGTTTCGGGCTGTTCCTAGTTTATCTGCCTTTTTTTGTGAAGACCCTGTTTTTAACTCTCCAAATCTAGGAACTTCCAGCATATGGTGGCCAGACACACCAGCTGACCTTGGAGGCCCCTCAAGGTGGTTGGTGCTGCCAGCAGGATGACTGGATTCTGTTTACTGTAGTGGTCATAGCTTTTCAGTCTTAGCCATACCTCATGGGTAATTTTCCCCATTCCCATCAGCCTCTCAGGTGTCTGCTGGAGATGGCCACTTGACAGAACTGTGTGCAGGGTGAGCTCTGTCAGCCAAGGCTGCGGCAGTTCAGTGCAGTCAGCTGGTGGCATGCCCCTGGCAGGGTTCTGTCTGTTTCATCTCTGTGTATTTCTCCTTAGTCATTCAGCCATGGAATGACATGTGTCAGGAGTGTCCCCCTTCGTCACCACCTCAGTCCATTTCCTTCCCCTCCGGCCACTGGTCACCCAGGCTTGTGCTCCCAGGGCCTGGTGTGGGCAGGATCTGTGCTGTGCCTGGACCTTGGGATTGCGGGGGGCCCTGAGCGCTGTCCTGGCACTGAGCTGCATGTGGAGGGCCCAGAGTCTCCTTTCTACGGCTCCTCTTTCTCCGCTGCTGTGACATGACCCTGGCGTTTCCATCCTCCTTGATACTTGGTAACACTTAGGCAACTGCAATTATTATTTTTTTTATTAGACTTGTGGATTTCTCCAGCGTTTAAAGTTTCCCTTCCTTTTTTTGTACTTCCTTATGGAGGCCGGGTTATTTTTTTTCCTCACTGCCCACGCTGCCTATGATTTTACCAGTCCTTGAGTAGGCCATGAAAGGCCTTTTCACATCTACACTAGCGGCTTCTCAGGTCAGACCTGCTGGAGGTGTTATTGAAGGGGATGGCAGAAGGCCCAGAGTTTAAGGTGGTTCTTCATCCCGAGTGAGGAGAGAGGCCTCTGGGGTGGGAGCTACCCACATTCCTGAATGGTCACTTGGTTCTCAGGATAACCCTCTCCTTGGATTTCCAGTTGGGGTGTAGTGTCTGTGATGAGAACACCTCTGCTTTTACTAAGCTGAGGTAACTGACACAGTGCATTTCACTGTCAATGGGCCAGAGAATATTTGGCATGTGTGGGAGAACAGTGGCTCAGCAAGGTTTTCTCATCCAGGCACAGGGTAGAGGGTTACAGAAATGCCTCTTGGAGTTTGGGCTCTATGTGGTTCCTGTTTCTCGAAGTTACTGTTGGTTTATCCTGCCCAGCATCTTCCCCAGGTGTTACCAGTTGAATGTCATCAGTGAGAGTATGGCTTGTGAAAGTTTCTGGGTTCTTTGTGCAGATGACTTCAGAAGCAGCTCTGAGCTCTGCAGGAAAACCAGCTCACCTTTGTGGGCAAATGAGGGTGATGGTATCGTCCCATTTCTCTGTGGAGTAGCTGTGTGGCTGCATCTGCAGGTTGGAGCCACCCACAAGCTCCCGTTTTCCAAAGAATTCGTCTGGAATAGTCACAGTGCAGATTGCATTTTTCGAAGATGCTTCTAGAAGTGTTTCCACAAAATGTCTTAAGACAATAGCAGCCTTTTAGAACTAAGTGTGGAGAGGAAGCTGTGAAGCTTGTACCACACTTTGTTCACTAGTTGCTTTGTTTGTCTCTCTCCCGTTTCCTGTAAACTTCTGGAGAGTGTGGAGTCCAGGACAGAGAAGATGCTCAGTAAATGTTGCATGATGAGTGAGAGCAAATCCTCACTTTCTGGGTGTGGTTCTCCCTTGTTTGTTATTAAAAGTTCTACAGAGTGTTACTGTGCATTTTGGTGGCCCGATCCCTTTTTCACATAAGTATTGGCTGAAAAGAAATCTTCAGACATGATGGGGTTTCTAACCAGTTTCCAGTCAAAGCTTTAGTAACTCTAGATAGGAAAGTTATCATTAGGGATCTTGTAAGATAATTTTAAGACATTGCATTACAATTAATTGTCCTAATGAAGGAAGTATGTTTTCAAGACAAACTGTATCTAGATAATGTTCAAATTCCTAAGTTTAGAGTCCTCATCATTTCCAGATATTAACAAAAGTCAATATCTGGAAGTCATTTGGGGCCTGTGAACTAATGTGTATTATTTCCAGGTGGTACAGCTTTCAGCTACAATGTGCTTACCAGCCACTGAATTGGTCTCTGTTGAGTTATAAATTGGTAGATGGTGCTGTGAACATCGGCTCTTCTGAAAGGCATTTTTGGGTTTTACCCTGTCTAGTTTGGTCATTCTGTGTACATTTTAAGAAAAAACAGGTATAGCTAAGTAATTTGCTTATTTGGCCTTTTCAATAAGGAAAAGGCAAATAACCAAATACACAAATAGGCAAAAGAAAAAAATCAGGCAATTTATAGAATAAAACACGCAGCAGCTTCATAAACATGGGAAAGATTCTTGCTCTCCATAGTAATCAGGGGAAAGCAAATTATAACCCTAATAAGATGCCTTTTCGGTGCCTCTCATTGAAAAAAAAATCACAGTCTGATGATTACAAGCTTCCGATTGGACGTGAAGCCACAGTGAAGCTTACACCTGTCCATGTGCTGCTGGAGGGTACGTGGAGCCAGCTGGCCTGTGTCTGTGGAGGCTGTGTCTGCACATGCCGAGGACAGAGTCCCCGTCTGCATGTGTACTCCAGAGAACGTTTTCCATAGGATACCAGGATGCTTGTACAGAAAATGTTATAGCAGTGGTGTTTGTAATAGCACAAACTAGGAAATTACCTAAATGTCTACAAGATGGAGAACAGATAAATAAATTGTGATTAGTTAAAAAGTTGGCATATATCAGTGGAAATAGGTTGGAGCTATAGAAATCAACATAAACAAATCTCACCATGGCGTGGAAGATTGCCTGCAGTATGCTGCTGTTGATGCAGACGTGCAAAGAAAAAAGATTCCATACCTAAAGTATTAGCAATGCGTGGCTAGTTTAAATATCAGACATAGCTGTGGTTACACCTCCCTGAAGCACGCCTTTGGGTAGCGTTCACCAAGGGAATTCAACTCTGGTTATAGGGTTTCTTTCTTAACCAGGGAGGTGGGTATTGTATTATTCTTTATATCTTTTTGTATGTCTTCATTGTAACATAATAGATACAAATTGACATACAGATATTTGAGGATGACATGATATAGACCACAGGTTTTTAGGTTCTAACTTGACTGAGGAAAGAGGCACAGAATCTAAAGTCTGTTAAGTCATTACTTACTGTACTCTGTCTAATGAAAAATTGGTAGGCCTCTTAAGTTTCTGTCAAGAATAATTTGGTCTAAAAATGTAATATTGCTGTGCCAATTGCTTTCTCAAATTACATGCAGTCTTTTGTAAGAATTTTATTACTTATTGTACAGTAGAATTACTTTATGGTGCTAATTTGACTACCTTAGATTTTGGTCAGTTTAGCATCACTGATTGGCTTGTTTCTGAGCAGTGAACTTCACAGATACTCCTTTTTCTTGCTTATTTTTATTGCTAGTTTGTTTTGAAGTACTGGGCGTGTTTATTCTGTTACTCGTAGGTTGCAAGTTATATTTTCTTTTAAGATGAAGAATAAGGTGGTCAAGTTGTCACTTTTACCTTTAGTGACTCAGTTGTGTTGGCCTGTGGAGGAGTGCTTTCTTGCTTTTCACACCTTGTGCTTGTTCAGCCCTGAGACCTTGTATATTTAGGTAAAGAGAACTTGCTTTTTATCGAAGATGAGTTACTCGTGTTGCTTATGTAGCATTTCGAGTTCACCAGTACCTTTATTTTAGCCATATTTTCAGTCCTTTTAAATGTCAGATGTGTCTTAGATGATCAAGACTGCAGAGACTGGGAAGTTGCTCTTTTGGAGCCTGTTAGTCCCATGTATAACAGGTTTTCTGCTGAGGTTTGTGGCAGGAAGCAGAATTTGCCTACTTTTTTTTTTTTTTTTTGTCATTGGAAGAAAAAGTCTAACACTTAGTACACTAGTTTGAGAAATAACATTTTCTTTCTTCCTTTTTTTTTTGAGACCGAGTCTCACTTTATTGCCCAGGCTGTAGTACAGTGGTGCCATCTTGGCTCGCTGCAACCTCTGCCTCCCGGGTTCAAATGATTCTCCTGCCTCAGCCTCCCGAGTAGCTGGGACTACAGGTGTGCGCCACCACGCCCAGCTAAGTTTTGTATTTTTAGTAGAGATGAGGTTTCACCATGTTGGCCAGGCTGGTCTCGAACTCCTGACCTCAAGTGACCTGCCCGCCTCAGCCTCCCAAAGTGCTGGGATTACAGGCATGAGCCACTGCATCTGGCCAAGAAATAACATTTAATATTTCAATACTAGAAGAGTAAAATGAATGGGCAGTCTCTTTAGACTTGATAATTGGAAACTTGATACACTATTTACAAATATTTTTGGTTGGAATAGAAATGTTATATTAGACGAAACATTTGCATAAGAAACAGTTTTTTGGGTTTATTTTTTGCTAACTCTTGTGTGACCTAGAAGTCTTTGGTCTTCTGTGAGATGTATCTTGGCAGTGACGTGAGGTCTCAGGTGGCAACATGGTTGTTGTAAGTATGTGTTTCATTTTAGCTTCTTAAGGATAACTGATTTTGACCAAATATGAAAATTTAAAGACATCTGCCAACTTGGGAGTTGTTTTTGCCACCTTAAATCTAAATGGCAGTCAGCAAAGAATTTCAACTGGCCATCTTTTCAGAAGGTTTCCCTGTATTACAGTTATTACCAGATGCTAGCTTTGCTTTTTAAGACATACAGAAGATTGGTTTATCTTAGTTTCATGCTGTAAGGCAGAGGTCAGCAAACTTTTTCCGTAAAGTGTCAGACAGAAAATATTTTAGGCTCTTGGGGTCGTACGATCTCTGTTGCGGTGACTCAGTTCTGCTGTTACTGCCTGTGTGAAAGCAGCCTTGGGCAATATATTTAATTCTAAGGAATTCCAACTCTCTGTGTTTGTGATCTGAAGCAGGAACTTTTCTTGGAATACTGGATTCGACACCTCACTGAATTCTAGTTAAGGTGCTAAATTTTCCTCATGAACACTACATTTGAGTAGCCCTTAATACCTCATTAAATAGGTTACTAGTGAGTAGCTTTTGAATTCATGTAAAAATTGTCAGTGAAACTTGAAAGAACTTGCAGTGTGGCTTATTTTGTAGCCCGCTGGGAGGCTGAGGACCTTGTTTTGAGAACTGAGCACCCTGTTCTGGAGGGTGCTTGCATAGCTCTGTCTTTTCTGGCTCCAGAGCATTGCCAGGGACTTTGAAAGTACCCATGGTCGGCCAGGGATGGTGGCTCATGCCTGTAATGCCAGCACTTTGGGAAGCCAAGGCAGGTGGGTCACCTGAGGTCAGGAGTTTGAGACCAGCTTGGCCAACATGGTGAAACCCCGTCTCTACTAAAAAAAAAAAACAAAAAAACCCACAAAAATTAGCCGGGTGTGGTGGTGCACGCCTGTAGTCCCAGCTACTCAGGAGGCTGAGGCAGGAGAATTGCTGGAACCTGGGAGGTGGAGGTTGCAGGGAGCCGAGATTGCACCACTGCACTCCAGCCTGTCTGTCTCTCTCAGCGACAGAGCGAGACTCTGTCTCAAAACAAAAAAACAAAAAAACAAAAAAAAAGAAAGTGCCTATGGTCACATGGGTGAGAAGGAAGACCTTAGCTTTTATATATTTTGATCTTTAATCACTGGGAGTTGATTCACTTTTCAGTAGATAAATTGAGTGCTTATTGTGTCCAGTCTTACTATACTAGTTTGTGAGATGATAAAGATAAGGCACGGAGCTTGCTTTTGACAAAGTTTAGTGGGGAAACCAGAGATTTTAATAGAGAACTACAATAGAAATTTTCTATGGCATGCATGTGTTACATGTACCATAGTATATTTAGTTAGTCCCTTTATAATGGACTTGGTCAGTATTACTGATTTTTCCTTTTGCCTTAGGCTCCAGTATGTGACCAGTTCCATCTTTATTTAAAATTTTGGGCTGGGCACAATGGCTTATGCCTGTAATCCCAGCACTTTGGGAGGCCGACGTGGGAAAATTGCCTGAGGCCGAGAATTCAAGACCAGCCTTGGCAAGATGGCAAGACCTCATACAAAAAATTAAAAAATAAGCTGGGTGTGGTGGCACATGCCTGTAGTCTCAGCTACTCAGGAGGCTGAGGCAGGAGAATTGCTTGAGCCCAGGAATTCTAGGTGGCAGTGAATAATGACTGTGCCACTGCATTCCAGCCTGAGTGACAAAGTGAGACCCTAGCTCTAGGAAAAAAAAGTAAAAAATTAAAGTTTTGCTTATTAGGGCATTTTTAATATATTTTTTTAAAATATTGCATTACATTTTTAAAAATATGGGCCACTGGGCATTTTGATACTCCCTTAAATTTACACCCAAAGCAAGTGGCTTACTCTCCTCATCCTAGCCGGCTGTGCTAGTTCAGTGTTTATTTGATAGCATGTGTACTGGAGGTGGCAGAAGGTAGGTTGTGGGGGCTCTGGACTCTGTTATCTTTTCCTGAAGGGAATTATGTGTGTCCTAGCTGGCTGTCAGCTTTGCCTGACTCATACCTGAGCTCTGGCTCTCTGGATGTGGTCTGCAGCAGAGCTGTGCCTCATTCCTCTGCCTTGCAGCTCTCCCTCTTTCTCTGCCTCACACTTGTGCCATTTAGAGGCCAGGACCTTGGAGGGTTTTCATGCACATTTTAGTGCTCCCTTGTTCTGAAACCCTCCTTTCTAGGTATCTTCTTCCCTTTCTTTCCACCCTGGTGACCCTGGACTCTGTGGTTTTACTTCTCAAGCTGGTCATCCCCAGGTTTCTGATTGAGGGTCGCTGCCTGGTGCTATGTGGCCTTGTCTAAACCTCAATATATTTGCCTCTTTATAAAAAAAAATTCTCTTTTTTTTTTTTTTTTTTTGAGACAGGGTCCTGCTCTGTCACGCAGGCCAGAGTGCAGTGGCTGGCACCGTCACAACCCTGCAGCCTTGACATCCCTGGGCTCAAGTAAGTCTCTTGCCTCAGCCTTCCGAGTAGCTGAGACTCTAGGCATGTGTCACCATGCCTATCTAATGGTTTTTTTTCTGTTGTTGTTTGTTTTTTAATGAAGAGATGGGATCTTGTTGTGTTGCCCAAGCTGGTTTTGAACTCCGGGCTCAAGCAGTCTTCCCATGTTGGCCTCCCAAAGTGCTGGGATTATAGGCATGAGCCACCCCTCTTCTTTCAAGGGGGCACTTCTCTTCAGTTTCTGCCTGCCTTTGGCTGCTTTCCATTCCCCTTAAATGGTTCCTATATTTTGTTCAGAATTTGTGATTCTTATTGGTGGAGGGTTAGTCCAATGCAAGTTACTCTGCCATTGCTGCAGCTATTTTTTTCTGGAATAAGTATTAAAGGCTGTGTGTGTGTGTGTGTGTGTGTGTATTTCACTAGCATCACAAGTTTTATTTTTGTATATTCATTCTTGTTCAGTTTCCCAATTTTCCTCATAATTTCTTTGACTTATTCTTATAGAGATGTACTTTCAGTTTTCTAAATGTTGGAGTTTTAAAACCTACTTAAAAAATGATTTTTAACTTAATTATGTGGTGGATCAGAGAATCAGCTTAATGTATTAAGTGCTATAAGAGGTGCCTTAAAATCTACCATTATTGTGGACTGGTCAGCATTTTCTTGTAGTTTTATCAATTTGTGCCTTTATGTATTTTTGAGGCTATATTATTAGGTACATACAAGTTTAAAATGCTACCCTCCTGATGAACTGAACTTTTCAGTATGAAATATTTAGCCTTGCCGGGCGTGGTGGCTCATGCCTGTAATCTCAGCACGTTGGGAGGCTGAGGTGGGCGGATCATGAGGTCAGGAGTTCGAGAGCCTAACCAACATGGTGAAACCCCATCTCTACTAAAAATACAACAATTAGCTGGGTGTGGTGGCATATGCCTGTAATCCCAGCTACTCAGGAGGCTGAGGCAGGAGAGTCACTTGAACCCAGGAGGCGGAGGTTGCAGTGAGCCGAGATGGCGCCACTGCACTCTAACTCTGTTTCACAAAAAAAAAAAAAAAAAAAAAAAAAAAAAAAAATTAGCCTCTTAATTTTTAAAGATGCTTTCCCTTCTTTTAACATTATTATTATTTTTAGTTATTATTTTTGAGATAGGGTCTTGCTCTGTCACACAGGCTGGAGTGTAGTAGCACTGTCACAGCTCATTGCAGCCTCGACCTCCTGGGCTCAAGTGATCCTCCCACCTCAGCTGCTCCAGTAGCTGGGACCACAGGGGCGTGCCATCATGCCCAGCTGTTTTTGTATTTTTTGCAGAGACGGGGTCTTGCCATGTTGCCCAGGCTGACCTCCAACTCCTGGGCTCAAGCTGCCCGCCCACCTCAGCCTCTGAAAGTGTTGTGATGATAAGCCTGAGCCACTGCACTCAGTCTGTTTTCTTTTCTGTTAATGTAGCTACCTCAGCCTTCTCTTTCTTCTTTTTTCATTAGTATTTGTTTGATATATCTTTTCCCATTCTTTTACTTTCAACTTTCTGCAAACTTTTTTTTTTAGAGTCTCACTCTGTTGCCCAGGCTGGAATGCAGTGGTGCGATCTTGCTTCACTATAACCTCTGCCTCCTGCATTCAAGAGATTCTCCTGCCTCAGCCTCTCTAGTAGTTGGGACTACAGGTACACATCACCACATGTGGCTATTTTTTAATATTTTCAGCAGAGACAGGGTTTTGCCATGTTGGCCAGGGTGGTCTTGGACTCCTGGCCTCAAGCAGTTTGCCCACCCTGGCCTCCCAAAGTGCTGGGATTACAGGTGTGAGCCACCACTCCTGGCCCCTTTCTGGAAACTTTTGTTTCAGGTGTGTTTCTTTGAAACAGTCCATGGTTGCATTTTGTTTTTCCTTTAATCTAACCATCTATAATCTATGCCTTTTAATAGGAGTATCCTGTTCATTAACATTTGTGATTAATGAAATAATTGGATTTATTTATTCTGTCATATTTTGTTTTTCTTTTTATTATGATTTTTCCAAGTTATCTTTCCCTCCCTACCTCTCTTTCTCCCTCGCTTCCTCCCTCCCTGTCTCCCTCCTTCCCTTCCTCCCACCGTCTTTCTTCCTTCTCTCTCTCCCTTCTTCTCTTTTCGTTCCTTTTCTATTCTTTCTTTCAACAGGGTCTTACTCTGTTATCTTTCTTTCAAAGTCACTAAGATCTTTTCTGAGTTCATTTTATTCTTCTAGTGTCTTGAAAGTTTACCCTTGTTTCTTTCAGTGATAGCCCCTTTTTTAAAGCATGATTTGATGTATTTGGTATACTTGAAAGTAATTAATGTCTTTCTCACCTAAACAGTAGAAGGATCTTAGAATGCTCTAATACTTACATCCTGGATTATATGCATTCATGGACTGTATCTTAGCTCTGTTGAAAAGTTTCAAAAATCCCATAGAGTAGACATTTTAATGACTGCTTTTACCCCCCAGTGTTTACTTCTGTACACTCACATCCCTTTACTTACTCCCTCCTTGTATCTCAGAACATTCTTCCAACGTCATTTTCCTTTTTCTGAAGTCTGTCCTTCAAATTCTTTCAGTTCAGATACATTTAAAAATGTCTGAGATTTTCTTTGACAACATTTTTACTTTACCTCTTTTGTTGAAAATATTTTTGCTGGGTTCACAATTCTAGCTTTATTATTATTTTCTCTTTACCCTTGGTAGATATAGAGAGCCCAGCTTTTGGTGTAATTACTCTTTTATAGGTAATATGTCCTTTCTCTCTGGCTGCTTTACAAAATTTGTCTTTAATTTTCTAAAGTTTGATTGTGATGTGTGTAGATTTGTATTTATTTTTTATCTTTCTTGAGATGTTTTTGTGCCTCCTGAATCTGAGGGTTTATATTTACTCATTTCTGGGAAATATTTTTGAAACATTTTTTTCCTTCATTCTTTCTGTTCTTTCTTTGTGGACCCTATTTGGAAGAATGTTGAACTTTTCCACCTTTGCCTCCTTGTACTTTTATCTTTCTTTAATCTGTTTTTCTTTCTTGCTGTAGTTTCTTAAGCTGTCTTTTCTGTTTAGTATTTCTCCTTTTCCATGTGTCTAATTACCCTTGAGTTTTACATTTTAATTATTGTTTTCATTTTTGTACATTCTGCTGTTATTTTTGAATTGGCTGGTCATTCAAAATAGTAATCCTAGCTTCTTGATTATGTTTTTAATTTCTTTTAAAATTATCTTCACCCATTAAACATACCAGTTTTATATTCTGCAGTTGATACTTCTAGTATCTGAAAAATTTTTGGTTCTAGCCCTGTTATTGGTTCTTTGTGCTGGCTGTTGCTTACCTGGTCTTCTTTTTCTCATGCGTCATATTATGATTTTTGTTATGAACTCCCATTTGCTAGTATGTATTTGTGGGAATTCTTTGAAGACCAGGTTGAGGATCCTTTCCTTTAATGTCCAGGAAGCTGGGGGAGCTTCTATCCCAGGTCTGTTTTATATTAAAATTACTGGCTTGGGGATTTTTCAGGCCTGCCAAAAATGTGAATTCATGCTAAGCTTGAAAGTTTCCTCTCTTCTGGTTTCTGCAGGGCCTGTGAAATGAATGTCCGTGTCTCTCTGAGGCTTTTCGCTCGGTCCCTCTGCGTGAAGCCACTGTAACTGAAGCTCTAGTCTTTTGGAATTGTAGCATCTTTTGCACTTTCCTCTAAGATTTTGTGCTCTTACTTTGTTCCTGATCAGAGATGTTTTCCTTTGATTTCTTGCAAATTCATTCATTATTTCAAAGGCTTTGCAAAAAATATTTGTCTAGCCTTTTTATTGCTCTGCAGTGTAAAGTGTTTGGGTTCTCTGTATTTTGCAGTATTTGCAGAAACCAAAGTCCTGTAGTTTCTGACTTTCATCAGACTCTGCATTGCCAGCCACGGTTCAATCCCAAAACAGCTTATAAAGTCCTGTCCTATTCAGTAAACTGCTCTGTTGGTTGTGAGGGATGGTTGGGTTGTAGTATTCTTCATTCCTTGTACTGTGATTATGTAGTCCTGTGGCCTGACCTGGCTACCTGGATGTCATGCGTAATGTTCATTGAATGAAAATATGTCATTAGGTTTTAGATGGCTGAATTGAACTTTGAGAGTATAGTACTCTTACAAATTGAGGGTAACCTGTATGTTAATGCAGGATTGGTAATAAAAGAAATGAATCAATAAATATGGTTTGTGAGGCTTCCCGTGGGACCCTCTCTGCAATCGAGACTCTTGATTATGTGAGGCTATGAAAGGCGGTATTATGTGATATCATTGCTGAAGTTTCCCATTTTCCTGTAGCCTCACGTAGACAGATGTTATTAATTCACATTATAGAATTGGACATCTAAAATGTGAGGGAAGCTCTAAATACGTTAAGTTCCTCTTAACTAGTAGGTATGTTTAGGGTGAAATGTAGTGTGGATGGAGCATTCCAACACCTTTTTCTTTTACATTTCAGGCTAATGCTGATGTCCCTATACAATGTAAGCATCAATTTGAAAGGCTTGAAATACATCAGCGAGAGTCCAGGATTCATCCCTTTGCTGTGGTGGCTTTTGAGTGGTAAGGGGGGTGGTTATCTGTCCAGCTGCTTGTACGGGTTATGCAGTAGTCCTCCCTTATCCACGGGGCATACGTTCCAAGTTTCCTAGTAGATGTCTGAAACCAGAGATAGCACCAAATCCTCTCTATATACTATATTTTTAAACATTCATACATCTGTATGTAAAGTTTAATTTATAATTAGGCATAGAGGTTATCAACAACTAATAATAAAATAGAACAATTATAATAATAAGCCAGCACCGCTACTCTTGTGCTTTAGGGTCATTATTAAGTAAAATAAGGGTTACTTGGACAACAGTGCTGTGGTACTACAGCAGTTGACCTGATGACCTAGATAGCTACTGAGTGACCTAAAGGGCGCATAGCATATGCTGGACAAAGGGATGATTCATGTCCCTGATGGGATGGAGTGGGATGGCAGCATGAGATTTCATCATGCTACGCAGAATGGTGTGCAATTTAAAACTTAAGAATTGTTTATTTCTGGATTTTTCCATTTGATGTTTCCAGACCATGGTTGACTGGCTAAGTGAAACTGTGGAAGGTGAAACTGTGGATAAGAGGGGCCTACTGTATACCTGTTCTTCTGTAGCTGAAGGAAATTTTAAAGTATTAGAAAGTAGGATTGATTGTAAGATGTTCTTTCTTTTAAAAAAAGTCAAATTTTAGAAAATTTCTTGGTATGTTAAGTTTACTCTAGTTCTGTTTCTGAAGTATTGCTTTCAATTTGGTTATAATTTACTGGTGTCCCTACAACACAAAGAGAAATTGTCTCTTATAAAACAGCAGGTAAACAGCATCAGCCTATCCCATTCTCTATTACAGCACAGTACTCTATGTGGGTATGTGGTTCTGTCAGATAAAAGAGAAGACCCATTGTTAAATAATTTGGGTAAAAAGAAATTGGAAAGACACTGCAGCTATGAAGAGAAGTACACATGTATAGTATGTGTGTGTTTTAAAATTTCTTTAAAAAGCTATCTTTACTGCATCCTTTCCTCTTCACCCTTAACTACCAATCTAACCTAAAGTTCTGTCCCAATTTCATCATAATTTTTAACACTATATGTTGTTTAATGAGTATACATTTCACCCATGTATAAAAATAAATTAATTTTCCTTATTTTTTTATGATTCAAATTAACCTCTTTTTTTTAGTGTCAGTTCCATTTGGTGGTGAATGCTTTTTTAAAAAATAGCTTTATTGATGTGTAATCGACATGTAATAAGTTGCATATATTTAAAGTGAACAATTGATAAGTATTGATATAAATGTCCACCTGTAAAATTATTATCACAATCAAGGTAATGTGCAAACCCATCACCTCCAAAGGCACTTTGTGCCCCTTTGTGGTCCCTCCTTCCTGCTCCTCTCCCTGCTTTCCAGAGAGTGACTCGCCTCCTTTCTGCGCTGTAGTTAGTTTTCATTTTCTTTGATTTTATATAAGTGGAATCATAGTTTGTATTCTTTTTTGCCGTGCTTCTTTCACTCAGCATAATTATTTTGAGATCCATCCATGTTGATTTTGAGACCCATCCATGTCTATCCATGTGTCTATTAATAGGTCATTATTTTTTATTGCTAAATATTCCATGTTGTGGATATGCCACAATTGTGTATTCATTCAGCTAGTGATGGACATTTGGGTTGTCTCCAGCTTTTGACTACTATACATAAAGCTGCTGGGAGCATTCTTGTACAAGTCTTTGCATGGACATATGCTTTTGTTTGTCTTGGGTAAATACCTAGAAGTGGGATCACTGAGACATGTGGTAGGTGCATGTTAGTTTTTATGAAACTGCCACCCTGTTTTCCAAAGTGCTTGTACCATCTTACATTCCCAGCAGCATTGTATTAGTGTATGGTCATTCTCTTTAATTTTAGACATTCCAATAGGGATACCGTGATACTTCACTGTGGTTTTAATTTGTATTTTTGTTGTGACTAATGATGTTGAGTATCTTTTCATGTTTTGCCATTCACGTAACTTCTTTGATGATATCTGTTTGTATGTTTTGTTTATTTTAAAAAAATTGGATAGATTCTTACTGAATATTGAGAGTTCTTTATGTATTCGGTTTGTGTCCTTTGACAAATGTGTTGGAAAAATATTTTTTCCCAGCTTGTGGCTCATCTTTCATTCTCTTAAGAGCATCTTCTGAAGAGCAGAAGACCTATCTTAATTGTGATAAAGTTTATAATTCTTTTTCTTCGAAGAAGCATGCTTTTGTTGTAGAAATTTTTTCCTAAATCAGTGTCACAAAGGTTTTCTAATGTGTTTTCTCCTAGTAGTTTTATAGTTTTGCATTTCACGTTTAGGTATATGATTTGTTTTGAATTGGTATCTGTTTGTGGTGAGAGTTTTTGTTGTTGTTGTTGTTTTTATTTTTATCGTTTGCTTTGTTTTTTTGCATAAGACTTTCTATCTAGTTGATCCAGTACCATTTGTTTTGAAGACTTTGTTCTCCAGGGAATTGCCTTTGCACCTTGTTGACAGTCAGTTGACAATACATGTGAAGGTCATTTTGGATTCTGTTCTGTTCCATTCATCTATTTTTGGATCATTATGCCAATACCATGCTTTATAATAAATCTTGATAGCTTTATAATAAATCTTAAAGTCAGGTAGTATAAGTCGTCCAACTTTGTTCTCTTTCAAGGTTGTTTTGGCTATTTTTAAGCCCTTTGCCTTTCCATATGAATTTAAAAATCAGCTCGTCACTTGCTACCAAAAAGAATCCTGTTGGAATTTTTATTGGGATTGTGTTGAATCAACAGTTCATTTTGGGGGATAATTGACACTTTAGCAATATTGAGACTTACAATCCATGAACACAAGTATATGTCTTCATTTATTTAGATATTGTCGAGACACAAGGGTCACTCCTGTTTCTTCATGTGTTAAGAGCAGAGGAACTGACCTCCTTTGTTTCTGGCTAGCTTTTCAAGGATGTGTGTATAGCAGACATCCTTAGAGGACAGAGATACTGTCTCCTTCCAGAGCAAAAAGGGTAGGTTTGTTTACCCTTATGTAGTAAAGATAATGTTTCCCTCTAGGGCAAAGTTCAGCCAGAGCTTGGGGTTCCTCTCCTGTGACACAGCCCACACAGCATGTATGTGGCCTTGTGGAATTGGGTCTTAAACTGGCATAAATGCTCTGGCTATGGCTGTTGCTATAACAAGTTCTTGGTCTCAGACTCAAGAGTTTGTGTCTTCTGCCAGTGTCTGTAAGACTCTAGCATGCTAGCTTGTTAGCTTGCAAGCTTGCAAGTAGGGTAAAGCCCTAGACCCTCCACAGTTTGAGGGCAGGTCCAGGGGGCTATGCTTGTACTCCATTGACAACACTTACCCACCAGGGTTGGATACTTGACCAGACAGCTTTTTTCCTCTCAAGAATCATAGAATCAGAGGTGGTTCCTAGACCTGACCTGTAAGGTAACTATTCAGGCTGGTTGTTACGGGCCGTGAGCAAGCGGACAGTGTCAGTCTGTGGGAGAGGATGCTGGTGGTGCCAGGGAGAGAATAATTAAATAAGAATACCTAATACTTCTTGAGTACCAGTCATGGCTTTAAGTGTGTTACGTTTGTTACATTTATGTCTGTCAGTACCCTGTAAGGTAAATACTGTTTCTGTATCATAGATGAAGAAACTGAGGCATGGAAGTGAGTAAGGTGCCAAGGTTATATAGTTATGGGGTGGTGGAGCTGAGATTTGAGACCCCGACCGCCTGGCTCCAGACCCTGTTTCCCAACAACGCTACAGGACTGCTGCTCAGCAGGACATGTCTCGGGTGGAAGCCTTAGTGCTGGATGACTTCTTATTTATTTATTTATTTATTTTTGAGATGGAGTTTCACTCTTGTTGCCCAGGCTGGAGTGCAGTGATGCAATCTTGGTTCACTGCAACTTCCGCCTCCTGGGTTCAAGCGATTCTCCTGCCTCAGCCTCCCAAGTAGCTGGAATTACAGGTGCCTGCCACTACACCTGGCTAATATTTGTAATTTTAGTTGAGACAAGGTTTCACCATGTTGGCCAGGCTGGTCTCAAACTCCTGACCTCAGGTGATCCACCCGCCTCGGCCTCTCGGAGTGCCGGGATTACAGGCGTGAGCCACCGTGCCGGGCCAGTACTGGATGACTTCTCACATTTAGTTGACATTAGGTCTGGCTTTGCTTGGCTTCTGGGTCAGTTGCCCTGAAACAATATGCCAGTCTCTACTTAGGCTAATTTGCAGCCAGTAATCCTACTTTCTCATAAAAAGAGGAGTTTAGCCTAAATGTTCTCTATGGCCCTTTTAGCTCTGGTCCTCCGGAAGTTTCCGGGGGTGAGTGAAAATTGTAATGAGTTTCATCTTAATTTATGCAGTTCTGTCAGTAGCAAGCAACCCAAGTTTCTGCCACTCATCAGAGAGTGTGTTCTTTGACTCAGGTGGACTTTTCCTGCTTAAGCTTTGGCTTATGGATAATATGAGGTGCTTGTTAAGTTGTGTTAATGCAATTTTTTTTTGCTTCTGGGACATCATCCCAGGCTTTCCTTTTTTTTTTTTTTTTTTTTTGAGACAGAATTTCGCTTTTGTTGTCCAGGTTGGAGTGCAATGGTGTGATCTCTGCTCACCACAACCTCCGCCTCCCGGCTTCAAGCGATTCTCCTGCCTCAGCCTCCTGAGTAGCTGGGATTACAGGCATGTACCACCACGCCCGGCTAATTTTGTATTTTTAATAGAGATGCGGTTTCTCCATGTTGGTCAGGTTGGTCTCGAACTCCCGCCCTCAGGTGATCTGCCCGCCTCAGCCTCCCAAAGTGCTGGGATTATAGGCGTAAGCTACCGTGCCTGGCCATCCCAGGCTTTCTTATCCGTGAAAATAATTACTGGTTCTTTCAACACAGTGAGCACAGCCCAACCCCTCATAAATCCATTGCAAGGTCATCTTACTTTAGAATCTTTAGAATCATTTGTTCTAAAGTCAAACAAAACAAGATCTGTTTAAGCCTAGGATGTTTGACTCCTGAGTTATGTATGGGATTACTTTAAATCTTAAATTATAGAATTTCATATGTGTTTTAGAAGGTGAATATATAGTTTACTATAGAATAGGAAAATAGGAACAAAAATAGTTCGTGGTGCTGGTGGTAGTGGGACTGTTTTCAGAATTTAGACTGTTTTCAGAATCTAGAATCATAACTGCTTAGGACTAAGAGATAATTTGAAAACTGGCTTCTTCTATTCCTTTGGTTTTAGGTAGATCTAGTTTATGAAAATATACTGGACAGATAAGAAGCTCTTCTAATTTTTAAAAGATCGAGGAAAAGGAGAATTGTTTGAACCCAGGAGGCAGAGGTTGCAGTGAGCCAAGATCGTGCCACTGCACTTCAGTCTGGGCAACAAGAGTGAAACTTCATTAAAAAAAAAAATAAGATCGAGGAAAAAAAAGATCTCATTATCCCTTTCAGTAATCAGTTCCTACTTTTATCAATTTCTGTTAAGAAATTTGATGTATTTTAATAAGTACACGAGCTTTGGACTCATTCAACCCAGATTTGAATTGCAGCTTTCCTGCTTGTGAACTTACCTAACCTTTTAGAATCCTGCTTTTCTGATGTATAAAATGAGAATTTCTACCTCAAGGATCTTAATGTATATTAAAATGCAATAGTGTTTAGGCCAACACCTAATGTAGTAGGTGTTAAATAGGTGCTAGTTTTCCTCTTTTATTTCTAGTCTAAATATCTCATGCTTTAGGGATAAAAGACTTGAAATGAAAAAAAAAATCTCATGCTGCAATGAAAACTCATTTTCTTTTGTTTGCTTGCTGTAAAGGTGGCAGGTTACTTTCAAGTATCTAGACTTCCCTGATTCAGAGTACGAGACCAGTTGCTATTAATCATCCCTGACTAAATCATCTCATTTCCTTTAACGTTTGCTAGATTTCATTTGTCTTCCCTTCGTTCAGCTACATGGCTGGCTTTTTCCCAGGCTTTGTCCACATTCTTCACATTCCTCTTAAGCCACAGAACTGGCATAGAACTCGAGCAAATAGCCGACGAGGACAGAGTGTATTGAGATGGTGGCCACATGTTACGTAACTGTTAATGCAGACTAGTATTGTGATCACAGGAAACTGCATTTCCTACCATGTTTTCAATGCTAAAAGGGCAGATAGGCGGTTATTTCCATCTTACATCTATTTGGCTTGTCTGAGTAACACAAAGCATTGATCAGGTTCTCCAGATTTGTGCCTTCAGCCCAGACCTCTGTCCCGAGCTCTAGCCTCATAGATTGAGCTGTCTACTTGATATCTCCACATGGACATCTAATAAACATTCACATTCAATGTGTTCAGACTAAACCCCTAATCTTCCCTCACACCAAATTCTAATTTCTATTGATTACAATTCTATTTTTCTAGTGTCTCAGACTTTTAAAAAACCTTCGAGTGATTCTTGACTCCTTGACTCCTTTTAATCTCTTACGCCCTCATTCAGTCTGTTAGGAAATCCTGATGGCTCTACTTTCAAAACATCTCCAGAATCTGATCACCAGCTAGCACTCCCACCTAGGTGTTTTTTTTTTTTTTGAGACAGAGTCTTGGTCAGTTGCCCAGGCTGGAGTGCAGTGGCACAGTCTTGGCTCATTGCAACCCTCTGCCTCCTGGGTTCAAGCGATTCCCCTGTCTCAGCCTCCCAGTAGCTGGGATTACAGGCGCCCATCACCACGCCCAGCTAATTTTCCCACCCAGTTTTGAGCCACCATCACCTTGGGTTGAGAGCTTCCTATAGGTCTCCCTATGTTCCATCCTTCCAGGCCATGAACTGGGAGCCAGGGGTATGATGGAAAAATCCCTGACCACCTCTCCTTACTGAACAGTCAAAATGCGGAGTGAGACACAAAAAAACATTTTACTTACTTATTTGATACAGTGTCTTGCAGTGTCACCTAGGCTGGACTGTAGTGGAGTGATGCTAGCTGACTGTAAATCGAATTCCTGGGCTCATGGGATCCTCCTGCTCCAGCCTCCTGAGTAGCTAGGACTACAGGCATGCACCACCATACTTGGCTAGTTTTTACAACATTTTTTTGTAGAGATGAGGTTTCACTATGTTGCCCAGGCTGGTCTTGAACTCCTGGTCTCAAGTGATCTTCCTGCCTTGGCTTCCGAAAGTGCTGGGATTACAGGTGTGGGCCACTGTTCCTGGCCGCAAAATAAATAAATAAATAAATAAATAATTAAATAAAATTATACCTAGAGCATGAAAGTCAAGTGAAAGTGGGAGGACAGAGAGGTTAACAGAGAACTTAACTTCTTGCTTTGAGGGTATTTTTCAAACTTGTCCTTTAGTTTCCATGGCTCCCAGGGTGTGGGGGATAGGAGACAAAGCCCCGGTCCCACCTCAGGTGAGCATCCTGAGAGGAAACTCCCAAGGGTCTTTCCCAGCAGTGTCGGGGTAAACTGAAGATACTCGCTTAATCCGAAAGTTTTTTAAGGAAAATTGTTTTGACCTTTGGCATTGAGTGTAGTGGGGGGAAAATCTCTTCTGAGAATTAGTAGGCTGGTTTTCATGCAGGTTTGAAGCTTTTATTCAAGCCACCTAGGTGGTCCCTAAGAGAGTTAATTTTTATATCAACTTGATTGGACCATGAGATGCCCAGACATTTGGCCAAACATTAACTCTGGGTATGTCTATGAGGATGTTTCTGGATAAGATTAACATTTGAACCAGGAGACTGAGTACAGCAGATTGCCTTCAGCCAGTTGGGTGGCTCTCATCCAGTCAGTTGGAGCCCCAACAGAATAAAAAGGCTGAATAAAAGGGATCTCTGCCTTGACTGTTTGAGCTGGGATGTGGGCCTTTTCCTGCCTTTGAACTCAAACTGAAACACCAGCTCTTGGGTCTCGAGCCTGCTGGCTTTCACACTGGCACTACACATTGGCTGTCCAGAGTCTCCAGTGCATGGACTGCAGATATTGGGACTCCCTCATCTCCCTCATCAGGTCTTCATGTCCCTCAGCAGGCCCTTCATCTCCCTCAGCAGGTCCTCATCTCCCTCAGCAGGCCCTTCATCTCCCTCGGCAGGCCCTTCATCTCCTTCGGCAGGTCCTTATCCCCCTTAGCAGGTCTTCATCTCCCTCAGCAGGCCCTTCATCTCCCTCAGCAGGCCCTTCATCTCCTTCGGCAGGTCCTCATCTCCCTTAGCAGGTCTTCATCTCCCTCAGCAGGCCCTTCATCTCCCTCAGCAGGCCCTTCATCTCCTTCGGCAGGTCCTCATCTCCCTTAGCAGGTCTTCATCTCCCTCAGCAGGCCCTTCATCTCCCTCAGCAGGTCTTCATCTCCCTCAGCAGGTCTTCATCTCCCTCAGCAGGCCCTTCATCTCCTTCGGCAGGTCCTCATCTCCCTCAGCAGGCCCTTCATCTCTCTCAGCAGGTCCTCATCTCCCTCAGCAGGCCCTTCATCTCCCTCAGCAGGCCCTTCATCTCCCTCGGCAGGTCCTCATCTCCCTTAGCAGGTTTTCATATCTCCCTCAGCAGGCCCTTCATCTCTCTCAGCAGGTCCTCATCTCCCTCAGCAGGTCCTTCATCTCCCTCAGCAGGTCTTCATCTCCCTCAGCAGTCCCTTCATCTCCCTCAGGAGGTCCTCATCTCCCTCAGCAGGTCTTCATCTCCCTCAGCAGGTCCTCATCTCCCTCAGCAGGCCCTTCATCTCCCTCAGGCCCTTCATCTCTCTCAGCAGGTCCTCATCTCCCTCAGCAGGCCTTCATCTCCCTCAGCAGGCCTTCATCTCCCTCAGCAGGTCCTCATCTCCCTCAGCAGGCCCTTCATCTCCCTCAGCAGGCCCTTCATCTCCCTCAGCTGGCCCTCATCTCCCTCAACAGGTACTCATCTCCCGCAGCAGGCCCTCATCCCCCTCACCAGGCCCTCATCCCCCACAGCAGGTCTTCATCTCCCTCAGCAGGCCCTTCATCTCCCTCAGCAGGCCTTCATCTCCTTCAGCAGGCCTTCATCTCCCTCAGCAGGTCCTCATCTCCCTCAGCAGGTCCTCATCTCCCTCAGCAGGTCCTCATCTCCCTCAGCAGGCCCTTCATCTCCCTCAGCAGGCCCTTCATCTCCCTCAGCAGGCCTTCATCTCCTTCAGCAGGCCTTCATCTCCCTCAGCAGGTCCTCATCTCCCTCAGCAGGTCCTCATCTCCCTCAGCAGGCCCTTCATCTCCCTCAGGCCCTTCATCTCTCTCAGCAGGTCCTCATCTCCCTCAGCAGGCCTTCATCTCCCTCAGCAGGCCTTCATCTCCCTCAGCAGGTCCTCATCTCCCTCAGCAGGCCCTTCATCTCCCTCAGCAGGCCCTTCATCTCCCTCAGCTGGCCCTCATCTCCCTCAACAGGTACTCATCTCCCGCAGCAGGCCCTCATCCCCCTCACCAGGCCCTCATCCCCCACAGCAGATCTTCATCTCCCTCAGCAGGCCCTTCATCTCCCTCAGCAGGCCTTCATCTCCTTCAGCAGGCCTTCATCTCCCTCAGCAGGTCCTCATCTCCCTCAGCAGGTCCTCATCTCCCTCAGCAGGTCCTCATCTCCCTCAGCAGGCCCTTCATCTCCCTCAGCAGGCCCTTCATCTCCCTCAGCAGGCCTTCATCTCCTTCAGCAGGCCTTCATCTCCCTCAGCAGGTCCTCATCTCCCTCAGCAGGTCCTCATCTCCCTCAGCAGGCCCTTCATCTCCCTCAGCAGGCCCTTCATCTCCCTCAGCAGGCCCTTCATCTCCCTCAGCCGGCCCTCATCTCCCTCAACAGGTACTCATCTCCCGCAACAGGCCCTCATCTCCTGCAGCAGGCCCTCATCCCCCTCACCAGGCCCTCATCCCCCACAGCAGGTCTTCATCTCCCTCAGCCGGCCCTCATCTCCCGCAACAGGCCCTTATCTCCCACAGCAGGTCTTCATCCCCCTCAGCAGGCCTTCATCCCCCTCAGCAGGCACTCATCTCCCTCAGCAGGCCCTCATCCCCCACAGCAGGCCCTCATCCCCCACAGCAGGCCCTCATCTCCCACAGCAGGCCCTCATCCCCCACAGCAGGGCCTCATTCCCCACAGCAGGCCCTCATCCCCCACAGCAGGGCCTCATTCCCCACAGCAGGCCCTCATCTCCCACAGCAGGCCCTCATCTCCCACAGCAGGCCCTCATCCCCCACAACAGGGCCCCTCAGCAGGCCCTCATCCCCCACAGCAGGCACTCATCTCCCACAGCAGGCCCTCATCCCCCACAGCAGGCCCTCATCTCCCACAGCAGACCCTCATCCCCCACGGCAGGCCCTCATCTCCCACAGCAGGGCCTCATTCCCCACAGCAGGCCCTCATCCCCCACAGCAGGGCCCCTCAGCAGGCCCTCATCTCCCTCAGCAGGCCCTCATCTCCCGCAGCACAGACCCTTCTGACCACTGGCTAAGGTGAGACTTGGCAGTGCCAGCTATATGGCTGTGGCCACAGCAGTGATTTTAGTGGTGGGTGTGTGCTCTGAGCTGGGCCATAGTCTTTCTCCAGGAGTTTTCTGGCTTCAGCTGCTGAAGAACAGTGTTTTTTTTGCCTTTCTTGGGCCGTGAAACTATTGGATGTGACTCTAGAGCTGCCTGTGGCCGTGTTCCTGGCCACCTGGAGAAAATTTATCTGTGTTGTCAGTTGCTGAAGCCAAGACATAAATGCTGACCTGAGATGCAGAGGAGCCCTATGGCTTGCAGTCAGCTTTATCCCTGTCCAGGTGGGCTGTATAGCTTTTCCTCAGATTTTGAGTTATCCCAGCATCTTTCATAAGTGACTCCTTTTATCCTTCTTTCTTTTCTTTCTTTTTTTTTTTTTGAGACAGAGTCTCACTCTGCCACCCAGGCTGGAGTTCAGAGGCGTGATCTTGGCTCACTGCAAGCCCTGCCTCCCAGGTTCACGCCATTCTTCTGCCTCAGCCTCCCAAGTAGCTGGGACTACAGGCACCTGCCACCACGCCCGGCTAATTTTTCGTATTTTTAGTAGAGACAGGGTTTCACCGTGTTAGCCAGGATGGTCTCGATCTCCTGACCTCGTGATCCGCCCGCCTCGTCTTCCCAAAGTGCTGGGATTACAGGCGTGAACCACTGCGTCCGGCTGCCTTTTACCTTTCTTAAGCTAACTTAAGCATCATCTTCCTTCCCTTGAGGGCAGTGTGCCCACTCCCCCAACTTTGATTCCACATCTTTTCCATGGCACCAGTTGCCTTCTGATATGGCATCTGATTCCCTTCAGTGTCTGGCATTTGGCTATATCACGTAACACAGAGAAAGGCCAGAGGGTTTAGTAACTAGTGAATATTCAGTGATGTGTCTTCATAATTCTTTTCAACCCAAATATGTGGCATTGTCAGAATACTGTATATGTTATGATTCTAGTAAGCAACTTCTTTATTATGTGAGCTGTGGATGGCCATTTGATAGAAAAGCAAAATATTTAAGATCTTCACCGACAAAGAATTTTACATGTGAATGTTTTATTATGTTGGTCAAGTGTTTCTCTTGATAGTTTTGCGTTAGCCCAGTGTTGAGCCTTTTAGTGTAAACACGGGGCTAATAACGTGAGCTACTACAAAATGTGGTTTTTATCTTTTAAAAAATGTCTCAAACATTATTGACTTGAAACTTCTCCTTCAGAATGTCCAATAGAACAAAGGTGTCAGCCTTTCCACAAGAGAATGCTGGGACTGTTTTCTTTGATTAATCAATGCTTACATGATAACTTTAACAAGAAACATAATGTAAATGTTTGATTTTTCACTGTTGATATAATTGAGTGGTCAAATGGCCACTTCGTACGTCAAAGGATGTCAAAAAACATTTGGCCTGCATATGTCCAGTCTGACAAGCTGAGCGCAATAGAAACTTTAGTGTAGTCTGGTCAGGATACAATTAACTCATAGGCACATTGAGAAAGGGGAGTGAGTTTACATGAAGATGAATTTGGTGTGTGACATGGTCAGTCTGACATAGTAAAAAAAATCCAAATGGAAATGTCCAAGAAGTAGTTGGAGACAAGAAGCTTAGAGTTCACAAGAAACTTGCTAGTGACATGGGTTTGGGAGTCATTCTGAAAAAGGTGACAAACAGAAAGACTGGCAGTGTAGGGAACATGACACGGGGAGGCTGGCCGAGAGGCCTGAGCAGAGGGATGTAGGGCTCATGAGAGCCCTGAGCTAGGAGACAGGTCGAGGCATCAGAAAGCAGGCTGGCCCCTCTCCTCCTGTATTCTGGTTTGTGATTCTGGGTGAGTCCCTTCACTTCCATGATATTCTGTCATCCACAAAATAGAGATATAAACACTGTTCCTGTCTGTTTGGAACAGGGTGGCTGTGAGAATTGAGTGGAACAGCAATTGGAAATGCTTTATACATTTTAAAAAGAGGGACAGAAACCATTTCTTTGAGAAGAATACAATGGCTGTTAGAGTCGGAACTCAAAGAAAACAAGAGTGAAGAGAAGCATTTGGCAACAGAGAGTTATTGATGAACTCTGAAAAGGTTCCCATAGAGCACAGGGTCAGGCACAAGGGTGGCTTAGGAGGAATGAGCAGAGAAGAAAGAGGGGCGGGTAGTAAGGTTGATGCTGCTTTGGGGATTTGTTGGTGAAAGGAGAGTTTTGTGTGTCTGTATTAAGGGTAATCAGATTCTAATTTTCAGGATTTCAGTCTAAAATGAAAAATAAGAACAAGAATTAACTATTTTACTTCAAAATACACTGTGGCTTTCTTCATATTTTCTTGGGCTAGGAGTTCACCGTCCCCTGCAGTTCATCTTTAGACGGTGGCATCTGTGGCATCAAAGTAGGCTACTAAAATATAATGCTTGCTCCATTTTTGTTGTTTGTTTTACTGTAAGCCACAAATATTGGAATAATTTTTATAATAACTCTGCATGAATTCTTCATTATTCTTTAAGAAAAGATGTCGTCGAATGTTCTTCATTAACTCATTGATGAAGGATCTGGGTGTTTAGGATTGTTGTTGTGAGATTAGAAAACCGCAGCTAATGAAATCTTCCATATGATTTGTAAGCCTCCCAGCTGTGCATACAGTCAACTGATGACAATCTTAGTTACATAATGTCTTGGAAACCCTTTCTATTCAGATGTCAAAAGAAACCCTTTAGGAGATGAAAATTGGGGAGTTAGCATTTGTCAAATATTTGTGGGTTATGTTTCTTGGATACAAATATACCATTTGTGTAAGTGCTGAAATTGTTAAGAAAAACTTGGACATCCTGGGCCCTGTCAAAGTCCTGACATCCCAGAGGCGGTCCTGGCCGGGCTGGAAGGTACACAACTAGTCTTCTCTTCTGGCTCATGCCCCTCCTAAGCCAGAGTGCCCTGCCAGGCCACAGAGACCTGGGTGGAGCAGACAGCCATGGCCCTGGACAGCCACACAGCTTCAGCCCAGAAACAGCACAGGGTAGGCGCCCTAGCCCCATCTAACCTGGGAGGCTGTGTAGGAGACCTCTGCTTACATTCTGTGGGGCTGTAGGACCCTTCAGAGGCTTTCTTATAGTTGTGTCAGTGACAGCATGCTAAGGTTATCACCTGTGTGTTGTGCAACACAGAGCCATCCATGAGAGAGCGATGAGGGTGGTACAGTGCCGAGCTCGTCGCAGCATGGAGAAGGACCTATGTTGCCTTTCTTCATGATTGATTTGGTTGTGTCTGTGTAGAATGGACACCATGGATGGCTTGTTCTGCACCCTTTTTCCCTTTCTTCATTTCTAACAGAACCCCAACTTTATTCCGGGCTCCATCCTCCCTTTCGTGGATCATATGACTCAGGGAAAGAGAAGGGAGTTTCATAGAGAGAGAGAAAAAAAGAGAATGCACACACACACACACATCTCTAGGGAATCTCATCCCTAGAGATTGTATTAATTGGGCAGGAGTATGGAGCAGGGCCCAGGCATCAGGATTTGTAAGTCTCTCTGAAGGATCCTAATGTGAGACAGGGTTGAAAATGGATGGTCTGAGCCAGCCCTAGCCATCTTACTGTGTGCCGGTGATGGGTTTAGGGCTCAAGGCATAAGGTGGTCAGTGCAGGGCATCCTTCTGCCAACAGTGCATGGTCCATGTGACGCACGTTCGTGTGAAGAGAGTCCACCAAACAGGCTTTGTGTGAGCAACAAGGTGCAGGCAGGCCGAGTCCAAAAAAGGAGTCAGCAAAGGGTGGTGGGATTATCATTAGTTCTTATAGGTTTGGGATAGGCGGTGGAGTTAGAAGCAATTTTTTGTGGGCAGGGAGTAGATCTCACAAAGTACATTCTCAAGGGCGGGGAGAATATTATGAAGTACCTTCTTAAGGGCAGGGGAATATCACAGAGTCCATTATCGCAAGGGCAGGGAGGGTGTATTGTCATAAGGTCAGTTGATCAGTTAGGGTGGGGCAGGAACAGATCACAATGGTGGAATGTCATCAGCTAAGGCAGGACCTGGCTATTTTCACTTCTTTTGTGGATCTTCAGTTGCTTCAGGCCATCTGGGTGTATACGTGCAGGTCACAGGGGATATGATGGCTTAGCTTGGGCTCAGAGGCCTGACAGTCCAGAGGTGGGCACATGACCTGAGTAGCTACATCCAGATCCAAGGGATGGGGGAGAGACTTCTTCACTGGAGTTGAATGAGGAAGCCTGTGGCCCCGAATGCCAGCCTTACAGTTGATGCTGTTGGGGCAGGCAGAGAAAATAACCCAGGCCTTCCATAACATAATTGAGACATTGGATCCAGCCCTGGACTTCTCGTTTTAAGAAATAATAAATGTGATTACGTTTAAGCCACTTTGAGCTGAAGTTTTGTACTTTTAGCTGAAGTATTTTGTACTTCCAGTTGAAGTATTTTGACTGTTTCTGTAGTAATACAGTCACTAAGTGTCCTAAGTCAATTCCAGATTTATTGATATGCAGAATAAAGGGAAATAAAGAAGGCGTGATAATTGGAGGTAACATCTTCATTTTCTTAAAAACATATCCTGCCAGCACCAACTTACTTGCTTTGGTTTTCTTAAAATGTGAAGACACCAAATGCAAATAAAGAGGTGAACAGAGCCCCCTGCATGTGGTTGAGAAGTGGAGGTCGAGGGATGGGGTGGTGGAGTGCCAACCTGCATGTCAGCTGTGGGTTTGGGGCAAGCTCCTTGACCACCTGAAGAATGGTGTCGCTGACATCACTTCAGAGCAATTACGAGAATTAAATTCGTTGACCTACATAGAGTACCCAGCACAGGCACTGGTGATAGGCTTAGGTTGAACCACATGAAATTGCCAGTGTTTATCCACTTTAGACCAATGAAAATGACAATTTCACATGGTTTAGCTGAATAATTTCTTTAATAATGATAGCTGTTATTAATAATAAGTGAAATTGGGAATTGAGGATGTCTGTGAGCATAACTAAAGCATTAATTTGGCTTCAAATAATGTTCAGTGAAAGTTTTTAAAAACTGAAATTCGCCATGTTTCACTTCACTTTGCATGTTTTAAGACCTTTAGACAAATTTAATTTTTCAAGATTTTGCAGCGTATTTGTAGGAATACAGAAGATTATAACTGTGTCATCCTTTAAAATGCTTAGTGTTACCAAGGCAAGCTTTTCATCAATGTGATGTGGTAGTGGAGGGTTGCCTTCTATATAGTGTTGTGTAGACTGTACATGACTGGCGCCTTTGTCATGAACAGCAATGGAAGCAAACGTGAATATAGCACGTTGACTTGTGCATTTACTATGTGACAGCTGCTGGACTAGAGCCTTTCCTTATGGGATTTGGTGTAATCTTTATGCCAGACATAGTTTATATGTGGGGACACTGAGGCTTAGTAGTGTAGAGGCTCTGTGTAACCACTAGTAATGACTAGTAAGAGGTGGAAATGACTTAAATTCATGGTTTATAGACAAGTTTAAGGCTTGCAGACAATTAGGAACTCACAAAACAAATAGGAAACCATTGACTTATTTTCCACTTAGAAATTGAAGTCACTGATGTCTTGGCCCAGGAAGATGGCCTCACATCTGAGATTGATATCATTACATACTGTTGAATATGAGAATTTGGAAATGACTTTTTTTTTTTTTTTTTTTGGAGACAAAATCTTGCTCTGTCATCCAGGCTGGCGTGCAGTTGCGCGATCTTGGCTTACTGCAACCTCTGCCTCCCAAGTTCAAGGGATTCTCCTGCCTCAGCCTCCTGAGTAGCTGGGACTACAGGCGCACGCCACCACACCCAGCTAATTTTTGTATTTTCAGTAGAGATGGGGTTTCGCCATGTTGGCCAGGCTGATCTCAAACTCCTAGCCTCAGTGAGCCACCCGCCCCAGCCTCCCAGAGTGTTGGGATTACAGGCATGAGCCACTGCGCCTGGCCGACTTTTGAATGATATTTTAAATATCCTTAGCACTTACCACTGTCTTTTAGTGTGCACTAATCTTGGCTATTCTTTTAACTATAAATAGGAAGAAAGCTACCTTTAGGAGTTTTTTAGTCTATAGTGGGATCCTAACATTAGCTCACGCTGTTGTCCAGCTGGGTTTGTTAAGATGCACTTCCTATTTATTTGGCAGGATTACTCAACAGTAGTGTGTTTCATTTTCTTTTGGGCTAAAGACTTTCCTCCCAAAGTAAAAATGCAGTAATATGTGTGAAAGTAGTTTGTAAGTGGTGAATTGCTAGTCAAGTGTAAGTTATTTTTATCATCCTCTCCTTCTGGAAAGAATCAGGCCGGCAGTTTGTCCCACAGTGTTAGGTATCAGCTCCCCACTTCTTGCAATTGAAGAGCTACAGTGTCTTCTCAAGTTTTTAAAGGGAGTCTGAAAGCTTAGGTGGCGGGTGTAATTCTCTGTGACAGGTTTATGAATTTTTCCACGGAGATGTGCAGGCTTCAAAATAAATTGCCCTTTCAGCATGAAGGGATGAGGCTGCGTCACCTCGAAAGGCGAGCATGCTCATGCAGCCCAGTGGAGCGTCGTGTTTTCATATTCTGTAACTTTTGTGGCTGACTTAGTGCACCTGTTATCAGAACTGTGATATAAATATCCTGTAACATTTGAGGAATTCCAAATCCCGGAGGTCCAAACATTTTGAGTTCCATTTCTTAAAATGGGAATAAGACATGAAGGAGCTGCCTGAAAAGCACAGCAGGAGCTGCGTGAGCAGCAGGAGGGGAGGGAAGGCCCTGCTGCTCCTGTGCCCTGGTTGCCTGTGCGCATGCGGTGAGCCCTGTGGGTTCTGTCAGGCCTGGGAGTGGAAGGAAGCAGAGCCTGAGGCCCTGAGCTGTGTGTCTGCCATGGCTCGTGCTGCTGGCACTTTTGAGCCATCCCTTCATCGGGAGAGAAGAGGAAGCAGCTGGGTTGACGGCACCCCCGTCCCAAGGAGGCTGAGCCGAGAGGAAGCCGTCTCAGAGGAAGGAAAAGCAAGATCAGCCTCGAGGACAGCTGCTCCCCATGGAGGGCGGCCCTGTGTGCCCTGTGGTCTCAGTGTGCGTCGTGGATGTTGGGGTCGGGGAGGACTAGGCCACAGCTTTTACCAGAATTGAAAAAGTGCTTAGGGCTGGGCGCAGTGGCTCAAGCCTGTAATCCCAGCACTTTGGGAGGCCGAGGCGGGCGGATCACAAGGTCAGGAGATCGAGACCATCCTGGCTAACATGGTGAAACCCTGTCTCTACTAAAAATATAAAAAATTAGCTAGGCGTGGTGGCGGGTGCCTGTAGTCCCAGCTACTTGGGAGGCTGAGGCAGGAGAATGGTGTGAACCCGGGAGGTGGAGCTTGCGGTGATCCGAGATCGCACCACTGCATTCCAGCCTGGGCGACAGAGCGAGACTCCGTCTCAAAAAAAAAAAGAGAAAAAGAAAAAGGGCTGAAACTCAAAAAAAGGTTTAGGAACCATTGCTCCCAAGATAATCACCCAACGTGTAGATTTGCTGATGTCTTCAGAGGAGTCAGCCAGTGCATGGCAACTGACTGATTTTTTTATTGTTTCAAATTTAAGTGCTAAATTGAATAGTTGTAGGTTGAAAGGGCGAGATGATGTAGCTGTGCTGTTTTCCAGGGGAAGGCAGGATGCTGGCAGTCTGGTAAGAGATCCTGCTGGGCCTGTGGTCTGGCCTCCTCCCCCTGTGAGAGCGCCACAGTGGTCTTGGTCATGAAAGGCTGCCTCGGGCCCTGCTCACTCACAGAGGCTCATGGAGCAGAAGCCCGTCGATGGCTTGGCCTCGAGGCTGTCTTCACTAGTGACTGGGATGCTCTTGTCCCATGCAGACAAGATGACTTCTTCCTAGTTTCCAACGACTTAGCAAACGAAACTACTCATCACGAGGTTGCCCCGAAAGGTTGGGAATCGAGCAAAGTGGAAGGAAGTGGGGAGCTGGATGCAGATGAGCCCCGAGATGCCCAGGTGTCACCCTCCCCCAGCACAGTGCCAGCTCTACTGATGACCCCTTCCTGTGCTGTCCTCCACACCCTCCCCCAGACTGCCAGGTGCCCCTTCATTTCACAGGGCCTTCCCCCCAGGACGCCACCAGCACAGTTTGTCTGTCCCCTGTGAGGGAGAAGGCAGAGACCAAGTCCTGGTCATTGCCCTGTGCTCAGTTGTGACCCAGAGCTGGGGAAGCAGCAGTGTTTGATCTGCATTTATCACATGAACGAAGGTGTTTTGGTCTGGCCTTCTGAAGATTACAGCAGGGTCATTTTGATTAGAGTTTTGGGTAATTCAGGACTCTTCATATGTTACTGGTTGGATTTCTAATTTATTTTCCAAGATTTCTAATTATGTACATTCTAAGTCTGTGGGTTTTCCTAGTTTCACTCTGAGATGGTAGCATTGTTGACAGTTCTCAAGGGGAGCCTTGGGCTCCTCTAGGCTGTCCCTGTAGCTCTGTGAATGGAACACCCCGCCATGGGCCCACCACACAGCTGGCTCGGCAGTACAGCTGCAATGGGAAGTGGGCAGCGTCAGCCCCCCGTCACACTGGGCAGCAGCATTAGAAAGGTGGCTCTTCTGTGGTCAAAGAGCTAGTAGACAGGGGAGCCAGGATCAAACCCTGCTTTTTCTGATTCCAGAGCACCATGCTTGGCTTACCCATGCAGAGCCGTGGCAGCGGACAGCTGGGGACACACACGTTCTTTCATTCACTCACTCATGGGCTCATTCATGTATTCACCAAACACTTAGAGCCTCGTAAGGACCAGGTGCACCGCTAGTGTTGTAGAACAAGGGAAACTTCTCACTCTCACAGATTTAATGACTGTTCATTGCTATACTCCAATCTTAGTGTGTTTTGTCATTGTTTAGCATTGTGAAAGTAGAATTGATTTGGGTGTAATCCAAAAGTTTTATAGCATAGAGAAGAAAAGTCAAAGATACCAAGAACATCTAAGCCCCAAAGATTGGAACTTTTTCACTTTGCTAAACTGTCAAATACAGGAAAATGTGTGTGTGTTTCAGAGGGCTCTGACTCTGAAGACAGCTCGTTGGAAAAGGCAGCATCTGCAGCTGTCATTTTTGCCAGACATCATTGGTTAGTTTTCCAACAGAGAGGAGAGAGCTCAGCAGCACTCGTCCTTGTCCTCTCGGACACCTGAGTGCCAGGGAGCAGCTGGAGAGGAGGCGTTGCTGCTGAAGCCCTAGGGAGTTCTGTCCACTGGCTTTGTAGTGGGCCTTCCCTGTGTGCGCTTGTGCTGGATGTAGGAAATGTGGGCAACTTCACATGCTCCCTCTCTGCTGCACTTCACACCTCTGTTTCTCCCTCACCTGCTTTCCTGAGGGTGCGTCTTGCCCCAGGGTCCTGTCCACAGCAGGCCACTTCTCCAAGCTTACATGTTCTCCGGGCAGTCACGTCTACACCTATGACTGTCACTGCTTTCTTTATTACAGTGGCACTGAAGTATCTAACTCAAGCCCAAGTCTTTCTCCCAAGCGCTGGGCTAGCACATCCAGTGCCTGTGCCTTTCCTTCACATGGACCTCCCACAGCCACCTCGTGACTCCCAGAGCTGGACATGTCGTGTTTCCCCTGGGGCTCGCCCTGTGTTCTCTCTTGCACATCCTGGCTGATGGTATCCCCTCTCCTCCCCCAAGCCTGGCCTTTCCCTTCACTCCCACTGTGGAGGTCCAGTCAGGCCATGCGTCCTCTTGCTCCTGGCTGTTGTAACTTCCAGAATGTCTGCTGTGTCCTGCAGACTCTGATTGGGTCCAGACTGTGAGCATTTCTTGTTGGGTCACCAGGGGATCTGTTGGTGGTTCCCTCGGCTTTGGACCTAGTCGCTCTGATTCAGCCCTCTCTCTCCCCGCTGTTTTGTTAGACTGATCTTTCACAGTCGGATTACACCACTGACATCCCCACTGAAAACCGGAAGGGGCTCTGGTCAGGGTCCATGATCTGACCTCCTCTGGCCTCAACCCTGGGCATCCTCATCACCGTGTCCCTCTGTTCACACTCCTCACATTGCCTTGTTGGGTTTGGACTCAGAAAGGTGAGAGCTTTTCAGGAGAGAAACAGACTCAAAATGTGAATCTGAGAGAGCTCTATTTTGAGCTATGATATGAAGCAGAATTGATTCCATCTTCAGGGTAGAGCATGAGGGTGGCAGTGAATAGAGGGGCTGAGCCGCCGCACACTCCCCCTGGCCTATAGAAAGGGAAGGCAGAGTTGCTGAGGGGTTCGGAGTTGCTTGGTGAAGGGAGAGCCTGGAAAAGGAGCAGAAAACAAGACCAAGAGGCTGAGGACTGAGTAGAGGCCCCGAGAGCCAGTGTCCAGATGTCTGGGCTCCTTGAAGAAAGCAGAACCAGTAGCATTGTGGTGCTAGAAGCCATATTGAAGGAAGGCTAGGGATGACAAGCACGGAGGGAGGGCCCCACGAGGTATGCAGTGGCAGCAGGTAGGAGTGAAATGACACAGTGTCAGGGCAAAGCTGCGTGGACAGAGGGCGGAGGGGCTGTCCAGGAGTGAGTCAAAGCAGAGGGGCTTCCACAGAGTGCTGTGGAGGGGAGAGGCTTCGTGGACTTTGTGGGGACAGCATTTGTATCTGGGTACCTCTGGAGGATTTCTGATCTAATTTGCGATGAAGAGAATGCTTATATGTCTTTGTTTTAAATATACACAAATAATTCAGTATACATGACTAATGGCATATGTACATATATTTAAAGTAAGGGACGTAAGTATTGCTTTGTCCCACATTGTGTTATCACAATAAACAAAAACATATTTGCTGACACAAACTCTAATATTTAAAACGTATTCTCCATAAACTGAACTTCCCAGAAAACCAAACCAAAAGGTAATTCTTGAAAAGGTAATTCTTTCAGGCCATAAGTATGTGATAATCTGCATGGCCAAAGGAAGCAGAGTAGCCAATGAGAGCCCTAATAGTTATTATTACATTTGTACTTGTTTTACATGTATTATACAATGTGCTGTATAAAACTCTTTGAGATGGATGTACTTTGTATTATATTGACAAGGAAACAGGCTCAGAGAATGTGAAAGATTTACTTGCCAAGGCCAGTCAGTTAGGCAGTACCCCATTTGGCATTCATATCCTGGCCCCTGACTATAAACCCTCTACCTCAGCTTGTGTGTTTTCTCCTGTGCCATGCCGAATTTATAAATTAAACCTACGTTTAATTTGAAACGTAAAAATTATGTGTTGCCTTCATTTTAATAGATGAGGAATTCTGAGAATTCTGTTTGCCAGTGGTATTTCTGTTATGGTTACTGACATCTGCTTATTTTAATGTATTTTGACATGTGTGGAAGTGGGACTAATCTGGTTGTGATTCAGGCTCTGCATATGTATCAGAGCTGACCCATCTGCCATGCAAGTATATTTTAGAAAAGGAGCAAATTCCTGGCTGGGCCAAGTAACACCTTTTCCACTTCTCCTCTGTGTGTGATCTGTTGTCTACAGTATCATGTTGAAAAAGTTGAGAAGCGATTTTGGAAAGAGAGAAGTGAGGAATCTGTTGCCAGAGTGTAATTGAGAAACAGATGAGCTAATGGAAGAAGCCAAGATGTTACATTCCATTATAAGGGAGTTGTAATTTACTGTGAAGGTTGAGGGAATAGCATCTTTTTGGAAAGAAAAAAGTCAGAAATATAAAATAGCCTACTATATAAAGTTTTATGACTCCATCTCATAATCATTTAAATGGGTAGATACTTTATGTTCCTATACCTTCAAAATCCAGCTTGAAACCACCTTCCAGAGGGCCTTTCCAGATTTCACGTCCTCAAGTCTGATCATTCCTTCTTCTGTATCCCATGGTGAATATTACAAATAGAGTCATAGTTGTACCTTCTGAAACTGTTTCATTGTAAAATCCCTTGCTGGGTGTGGTAGCTCATGCTTGTAATCCCAGCACTTTGAGAGGGCGATGCAGGTGGATCACCTGAGGTCAGGAGTTCGAGACCAGCCTGGCCAACATGGTGAAACCCTGTCTCTACTAAAAATACAAAAATTAGCTGGGTGTGGTGGCGAGCGCCTGTAGTCCCAGCTACTCAGGAGGCTGAGGCAGGAGAATCGCTTGAACCTGGGATGTGGAGGTTGCAGTGAGCCAAGATCACACCACTGCACTCCAGCCTGGGGACAGAGGGAGACTTGGTCTCAAAAAAAAAAAAAAAAAAAAGAAAAAAAAAGAAAAATCCCTAACTAGGTAAGAAAGTAAGGACTTGGTAAGAGAGCAGTTGTGTTTCTTTTTTGTCTTCCACAGAATACAGTGAGGGAGCTTTGTGTCCCCTCTTCAGACAATGCTGCCGAGCCAGCGTGCTGAACCTGCCCTGGCTGGGGATGGTGCCGTGGGAGGGTGCGCTTCAGCTTGGAGTACACTCATGAGAGTTAGTCTGCAGGGAGTGGGCCGGCCTGTTTATTACCATTGTTGTTGAGCTCCCAGCACTCGGGTGGGTCAGAATGCAGGGAGTGGACCAGCCCCATTTGTTATAGTTGTCAGGCTCAGGAGTGAGCAAGACAGAGTTCTTTCCCTATGGAACTTATATTCAGGTGAGGAGACTTGATAGTAAACAAATATAATGGCATATATCATATAGTAATGCAAATAAAAATGGAGTGGCATGAGGAGCAGGCTAGAGAGTGTTGGGCGGAGCTGCTCTTTTGGGTATTTGAGTGGATACCTGAAGGAAGCGAAGGACAGCCTGTGCTGAGATCTTTGAGCAGAGCATCACAGGCCAAGGGTGGCAGGGGAAGGGTCTGAGGCAGCTATGGGCAAAGGAGTATTGTAGGAGTGACTAAAGGCCAGTGTCGCTGGAGAGGATAAGAAGGGAATGTTAGGAGTCGGGGCCAGAGGAACAGCTGGTGCTGGGAATCATCATAGTGTAGAAGGTATTTGTAGCCATGGTAGGGGACTGCATTGCTGAGGGAGTGATATAGGGCTGAGGATGAAGCTGTGGGGCCAGCATTTTCAGTGCAGATGAAGATGATGAGGGAGCACAGAACAGCCAGGTGAGGTCGGAGGAAAGCCGGGAAGATGCAGTGTCCTCCAGGGCTAAATGGAAACAGTGTTTCCACATGCAGCTGGGGACTGTCCTGTGCTACTGAGCTGGGCAGGTAAGCCTACAGGCGGGCGGGTGAGAGGGCCCAGCTGTGTGAGTGGGGCTTGGGGGAGCCACTTGGTCTCTTCACCATCATTAGTGGCTCATAAATGAAGCTCACAGTAGCCAGCATGACTTTTATTTTTTATTTTATTTATTTTTTTGAGACGGAGTCTCACTCTGTTGCCCAGGCTGGAGTGCAGTGGTGCGATCTCGGCTCACTGCAACCTCCACCTCCTGGGTTGAAGTGATTCTGCTGCCTCAGCCTCCTGAGTAGTTAGGACTATAGGCATGTGTCACCATGCCCAGCAAATTTTTTTGTATTTTTAGTAGAGACAGGGTTTCAGCATGTTGGCCAGGCTGGTCTCGAACTCCTGACCTCCTGGCCTCCCAAAGCGCTGGGATTACAGGCATGAGTCACCACACCTGGCCACCAACGTGACTTTTAAGACACTCTCAGTCTTAGAATCCTGATTGGGAGGTGGCGTCAGAATCTCAGATGGTAACACTGATGTTTGTGTGTGGCTCACAGATTGAAGGTAATTCTAGGAGGAGTTCCAAAAATGTTCTGAACAATGACAGTATTTTGAGGATGAAGACATAACACCTCATCACACACACAGCTGAGTGCCTTGAAGGGGAGAGCAAACTTTGGGTTTCTGTGAGTTCTGGTACTCTGGTGAAAGGGTAGTGCCCTGGAGACCTCCTGGGCTGTTTCCATTTCAGATGTTGGTCATAGGGCAGGACTCTGTGGAAGGGATAGGCAGTTTTCACAGCAAGGGAGGAACAGCTGCCAGCCCACACTCTCTTCTGCCATATTGAATTATTGAGGGAGAGACCAGTTTTCTTCTGGATGGTTTTTTTTTGTTTAGCAGATTCTTGATGAATATTTGATTTTGGTGGAGAGAAGTTTTCTTCTGTGGAGGACTTTTCAGTTTATTATTACTTGTTCTCTTCATTCTCCTTAGTTCCACACAATGGCAGCTACCTATTCTTTTTTTTTTTTTTTTTTTTTTGAGAAGTTTGGCTGGAATTCTTTTTGTAATCTCTAAATTGTTTTTTAAGAATTAGCTAGATAATTTTTCTCCAGGGAAGGGATTCTTTTGTTTTACATAAGCATATCTTAATAGATATGATTTTAACAATCAAATTATGTTCTAATTGTAACTTAACGGATCTTATGGTCAGTACTTTTGTCGATTTGCCTTGAAATTGATCTGTTTTTATCAAAGGCCCTTTTTATAGTTTAAATGTTCTCCAAGAACAGGCTGAAAGCACACCTGCCCTCCCATTTCCCATGCTTGTGTGTCAAGGATTGTTGTCAATTTCCACAGGCATGTTGCCTTTTTGTGTTAGTTTCACTGTTTGTCAGCCCTTTTAGATAAGACAGGGCAAGGCATTGAACCCTCCAGAACTCGTTCCCCTCATTGCAGATGGCAGCAGTAAGACCACTGCACTTGGGTGAGGGTCACTCATAAAAAGGGCAGAAGTAAACATCACCTATGAAAGTATTGTTCTTATATGATAGCACTAAATGTACTCAAATTGCTACTTTAATACAAAGGTTCCTATGGCAATATTAAATGTGAATCTGATCTGTTTTAATGTTTAAAGCTCAATAACTCTCCTTGGTTAGAGAATCAGATAATTAGTTTTGGTTGGTGATATGGTTTGGCCCTGTGTCCCCCCCCCCTCCCCATATCTCATCTTGTAGCTCCCATAATTCCCATGTGTTGTGGGAGGGAACCGGTGGGAGATTATTGAATCATGGGGATGAATCTTTCCTGTGCTGTTCTCATGATAGTGAATAAGTCTCACGAGGTCTGACGGTTTTAAAAATGGGAGTTTCCCTGCACAAGATCTCTCTTTGCCTGCTGCCATTCATGTAAGATGTGACTTGCTCCTCCTTACCTCCTGCCATGATTGTGAGGCCTTCCCACCCATGTGGAACTGTAAGTCTATTAAACCTCTTTTTCTTCCCAGTCTTGGATATGTCTTTATCAGCAGCGTGAAAATGGACTAATACAGTAAATTGGTACCAGGAGTGGGTTGTGCGGAAAAGATACCCAAAAATGTGGAAGTGACTTTGGAACTGGGTTACAGGCAGATGTTGGAACAGTTTGGAGGGCTCAGAAGAAGAGAGGAAAATGAGGGAAAGTGTGGAACTTCCTAGAGACTTGGTGAATGGCTTTGACCAAAATGCTGATAATGATATGGACAATAAAGTCCAGGCTGAGGTGGTCTCAGACAGAGATGAAGAACTTGTTGGGAACTGGAGCAAAGGTGACTCTTGTCATGTTATGTTTTAGTAAAGAGACTGGTGGCATTTTGCCCCTGCCTTAGAGGTCTGTGGAACTTTGAACTTGAGAGAGATGATTTAGGGTAACTGGTGGAAGAAATTTCTAAGCAGCAAAGAATTCAAGAGATAACCTGGGTGCTGTTAAAGGCATTCAGTTTTGTTTTTTTTTTTTTTTGTCAGTAAATACTTTATTCATTTCTCTGTTGATTTTTTTTCCTCATTACAAAACAGCACTGTATACAGCTGTGCATTTTCTGGTTACATGGAAGTGGAATTATTTGGTAAATGTGCATATTCAACATGAATAAAAATGAACAATTTGCTTTCCAGGGTAGTATTTTAAATTTATACTCCCATATTCCACCAGCAGTGCTTGAGAGTTATTGTTTATCAGCATTTCCTAATGTGAAATCGGAGTTTTTCTAAATGAGATTTTTGGCTATTTGGAGATTTTCCCACTTTCCTTGGAATGGTCTATTCAGATTCTCTACAGTTTTTATTTTATGAGATTTGATTTGTAAATATTCTTTATATATTTGAGTTTTAACTTTTTGTCAGTATGTGACAAATATATTCTGTCACCTTGTGGGTTTGTTTTTAACTGTTCGTGATATCTTTGGATGTGCAAAATTTTAATAATGTTGGATTTATATTTTTTATAGTTTTTGAATGCTGCCTTTTCATAAAGGAGTTATCTGACTTCCACTTTCCCCAGGAGCTGCAGGCATCAATTTGGCAAGTTTACTTAGCGCTGGTGTACTTGGTGACGGCCTTGGTGCCCTCGGACACGGCGTGCTTGGCCAACTCCCCGGGCAGCAGCAGGCGCACGGCCGTCTGGATCTCCCTGGAGGTGATGGTCGAGCGCTTGTTGTAATGCGGCAGGCGGGAAGCCTCACCTGCGATGCGTTCGAAGATGTCGTTGACGAAGGAGTTCATGATTCCCATGGCCTTAGAGGAGATGCCGGTGTCGGGGTGGACCTGCTTCAGCACCTTGTACACGTATACGGAGTAGCTCTCCTTGCGGCTGCGCTTGCGCTTCCTGCCGTCCTTCTTCTGCGCCTTAGTCACGGCTTTCTTCGAGCCCTTCTTGGGCGCGGGAGCGGACTTCGCTGGCTCCGGCATGTTGAAGGCGAACTACGAGCCTGAGACGAGCAGCAGATCGTGAAAACGGGAAGTAATGCAAGGCATTCAGTTTTATAAGGGAAGTGGTTTGGAAAATTTGCAGCCTGACAATGCGATTGAAAAGAAAATCCTGTTTTCTGAGGAGAAATTCAGACTGGCTAAAGAAATTTGCATAAGTAACAAGGAGCTGAATGTTAAGCCCTAAGACAGTGGAGAAAATGTCTCCAGCCATGTCACAGACTTTTGTGGCAGCCCATCCCATCATAGGCCTAGAGGCCTAGGAGGAAAAAGTGGTTTCATGGGCCAGGCCCAGGGTCCCTGTGCTTTGTGCAGCCTAGGGACTTGGTGCCCTGTGTCCCTGTCACTCCAACCATGGCTGAAAGGGGCCAACATAGTGCTCAGGTCCTGCTTCAGAAGGTGCAAGCCTCAAGCCTTGGGAGCTTCCATGTGGTATTGAGCCTGTCAGTGCACAGAAGTCAAAAATTGGGTTTTGGGAACCTCTGCCAAGAGTTTAGAGGATGTATGGAAATGCCTGGTTGTCTAGGCAGAAGTTTACTGCAGGGATGGGGCTCTCATGGAGAACCTCTGCTAGGGCAGTGCAGAAAGGAAATGTGGGGTTGGAGCCCCCACACAGAGTCCCTACTGGGGCACCACCTAGGGGAGCTGTGAGAAGAGGGCCACCGTCCTCCAGACCCCAGAATGGTAGATCCGCTGACAGCTTGCACCGTGCACCTGGAAAAGCCGAAGACCCTCAATGCCAGCCCATGAAAGCAGCCAGGAGAGGGGCTATACCTTGCAAAGCCACAGGGGTGGAGCTACCCAAGGCCATGGGAGCCCACCTCTTACATCAGCGTGACCTGGATGTGAGACATGGAATCAAAGGAGATTGTTTTGGAACTTTAAGATTTGACTGCCCTGCTGGATTTTGGACTCGCATGGGGCCTGTAGCCCCTCTGTTTTGGCCAATTTCTCCCATTCAGAATGGCTATATTTACCCAATTCCTGTATCCCCATTGTATCTAGGAAGTAACTACCTTACTTTTGATTTTATAGGCTCATAGGCAGAAGGGACTTGCCTTGTCTCAGATGAGAGTTTGGATTGTGACTTTTGAGTTAATGCTGAATGAGTTAAGACTTTAGGGGACTGTTGGGAAGGTATTATTGGTTTTGAAATGTGAAGACATGAGATTTGGGAGGGGCCAGGGGCTGAATGATATGGTTTGGCTCTGTGTCCCCACTCAAATCTCATCTTGTAGTTCCCACAGTTCCCATGTGTTCTGGGAGGGACCTGGTGGGAGATAATTGAATCATGGGGGTGAATCTTTCCTGTGCTGTTCTCGTGATAGTGAATAAGTCTTATGAGATCTGATGGTTTTAAAAATGGAAACTTCCATGCACAAGCTCTCTCTTTGCCTGCCGCCATCCATGTAAGATGTGACTTGTTCCTCCTTACCTTCCACCATGATTGTGAGGCCTCCCTAGCCATGTGAAACTGTAAGTCCATTAAACCTCTTTTTCTTCCCAGTCTTAGATATGTCTTTATCAGCAACGTGAAAATGGACTAATACAGTTGGTTTATAAAACTAGTTTTAAAAAATTCAATGGGATGTTTTTCTTGGCCCATTTAATTTTTTCTTCTTTACTGCAGAGAAGTAATTGTAGAGATGTCCTTCATGTTGTTTCCAGAGTAACACACATTGACATTTATATGTAAGAGCTGGTGGGTACTGTAATCATCTGAGAGAAATGATCAGATGTCGGTGTAGGGCAAGGGCAGCTGCCGTCAGAAGAAACAACACCATGAAAGGCCAAAAAGATTTATGAAGAACTTGACAGAAATAAGAGATTTTTAAAAATGCTCGCTGGTCACTTGGAACAAATAGCAGTGTACAAGGCATGATTTGAATGACTACTTAGATTGTAGTTGAGAACATCTGTGGCTTTCAGGATATTTTAAAATTACAGTTTGATGCTCAAGGCACCTATTTCTTTAGCTTAAAGGAAAAGGATCTGCAAAGAGCAGAGGAAAACCAAGTAGATTTTATTGCTTGGCTGAGTGTGCTGCGGCAGATGACATGTAGCTTATTTCGAAGATATGTTTGGCATTATTTATTTTTAGAATTTACCTGATATCAGATCTTAGTCTACTAGACAGTGTGGGAGCACGCATTGACAGACAGCCTGGGCTGGCACACCCCATGAACATAGTCCCTGATGCAGGGTATGGACAGCAACTCCTACTTGACTGGGAAACTCCAGGCATTTCACGTGCATTAGGCCTCACTGTGATGCAGGCACATCTCAATGGGTCCAGCCAACCCTGCTCACCACAGTGGTATGTGTTCAGGTGCAATGTCAGCTGGGAGTGTACACAGCACTGGTTTGGATCTGTGAGGGTTACCACCTTGCATACTGTGTGACAGAACTTGAAATTTGCCGAGAAGGCAAGACTTAAATGAACTAGATTCAGACAGTACAAAGTACTTGATGAGGTGATGGTGGTGATCGTGAGCAGTTCTCAGTGCTTCCTCTGTGTTGAGCCCTATTGTGAGCACTTTCCATGCATTAACTTGCCAGCCCTGCCAGGTCAGTGCTGATTCACCCAGGGAGCAAGTGGCAGAGCAGGATGTGAGCCCAGGCCATGAGGATCCTGGTAGAGCCAGGAATCGGAGTGGATGTGTCAGTAAGGGTTAGGGTGGGTAGGCAGAAGTTGCTGAACCCTATTGCCGAGTTCATGGGTCTGGGAGAACACGAGTTCAGTTGACCAGGAGATATGGGAAGGACTTTGGCAAATGTTTCTTTTTCTTTCTCTTTTCTTCTCTCTGTCCTCCCCTTCCATCATCCTTCTCTTCCTTTATTCTTCCCTTCATTCTGTTCTCAGGCTTTTTTATATATAATATTTTATATATTTATGGGGTGATATGTGATATTTTATTGCACACATAGAATATATACTGATCAGGCTGATCAAGTCAGGGTATTTGGAGTATCCATCACCTTGAGTATTATTTATATGTATTGAGAACATTTCACATACTTCTAGCTACTTTGAAATACAGTATACATTGTTGTTAACTATCATCACCCTACTCTACTCTCAAACATTAGTACTTACACCTTCTATCTGACTGTGTTTGTATTGACCAACCTCTCTCATCCCCACTTCAACCCACAGACCCTTCCCAGCCTCTGCTATCAGTCACTCTACTCTCAACCTTCATGAGATCCACTTTTTAGTTTCCACATATGAGTGAGAACATGCAAAATTTGTCTTTCTGTGTCTGGCTTATTTCGCTTAATGACCTGCAGTTCTATCCATGTTGCTGCAAATGACATAATTTCATTCTTTTCTAAGCCTGAACAGTATTCCACTGTGTATATATACCACATTTTCTTTATCCATTCACCTGTTGACAGACATTTGTAGGTTGATTTTGTCTCTTGTCTATTAGGAACAGTGCTGCAATAAACATGGGGGTATCCCTTTGATATATTGATTACTTTTCCTTTGGATAAATATCCAGAAGTGGAATTGCTAGATCACGTGGTAGTTCTATTTCTAGTTTCTTGAGAAATCTCCATACTGTTTTCTGTAGTGGCTATTCTAATTTACATGCCTATCAACAATGTGTAAAAGTTCCCTTTTCTCCACATCCTCGCCAGCATCTGTTTTTTGTCTTTTTAGTGATAGCCATTCTAACTGGGTAAGATGATATCTCATTGTGATTTCAGTTTGCATTTCCCTGATGATTAGTGGTTTTTTTTTGTATACTTATTGACCATTTGTATGGCTTATTTTGAGGAATATCTGTTCAAATCTTTTGCTCACTTTTTAATGGGATTATTTGTTCTTTTATTTGAGTTGTTTGAGTTCCTTTTAGATAGATCCCCTTGTCAGAGGAATAGTTTGCAAATAGTTTCTCCCATTCAGCACATTGTCTCTTCATTCTGTTGTTTCTTTTGCTGTGCAGAAGGTTTTTAGTTCAATATAGTCTCATTTGTCTATTTTTGTTTGTTGTCTGTGCTTTCAAGGTCTTAGCTATAAAATATTTGCCTGTACCAAATGTCCTGAAGTGTATTCCCTATATTTTCTTCTAGTAGTTTTTAGTTTTGGGTCTAACATTTAAGCTTCAATCCATCTTGAGTTGCTTTTTAAATATTTGGTGAGAGATAGGGATCGAATTTCATTCTTCTGCATATGGATATCCAATTTTCCCAGCACCATTTATCAAAGAGACTGTCCTTCCCCCAAGGTATATTCTTGCACCTCTGTTGTAAATACGTGGATTTATTTCTAGATTCTGGATTCTGTTCCATTGGTGTGTGTGTCTGTTTTTATACCAGTACCATGCTGTTTCGGTTACTAAAGCTTTGTAATCTGTTTTGAAGTCAGGTAATATGATGCCTCTTGCTTTTTTCTTTTTCTTTTCTTTTTTCTTTTTTTTTGCTCACAATTGCATTGGCTATTTGGATTCTTTTGGTTCCATGCAAATTTTAAGATTTTTTTTCAATTTCTGTGAAAAATGACATTGGTATTTTGATAGAGATTGCGTTGAATCTGTAGATGGCTTTGGGCAGTATGATTATTTTGAGGCTATTAATTCTTCCAGTCTTTGAACATGGGATGTCTTTTTGTTTATGTCCTGTTTAATTTCTTTCTTCTGTGTTTTGTCATTTTCCTTGTAGAGATCTTTCGCCTCCTAGGATAAATTTATTCCTAGGTATTTTAATTTTTTGGTAGCTGTTGTAAATGCGACTTCATTCTTTATTTCTTTCTCAGCTTGTTCATTGTTGGTGTATAGAAACACTGTTGATTTTTGTATATTGATTTTGTATCCTGCAGCTTCACTGGATTTATCAGTTCTAACAGTTTTTTGGTGGACTCTAGATTTTTCTAGGTAGAAGATCATATCTTTAGCAAAGAAGGACAGTTTGACTTCTTCTTTTCCAATTTTGCTGCCTTTTATTTATTTATCTTGTCTGATTGCTCTGGCTAGGTCTTCCAGTACTATGTTGGATAGGAGTGGTGAAAGTGGGCATCTTGTCTTGTTGCAGTTCTTGGCTGAAAGGATTTCAGCATTTCTCATTTAGTATGATGTTAGCTGTGGATTTGTCACACGTGGCCTTTATTTTGTTGAGGTATATTCCTTCTATCCTTAGTTTTTTTAAGGTTTTTATCATAAAAGGATGTTGAATTTTACCAAATGCTTTTTTAGCATCTGTTGAATGATCATATGGTTTTGTCGTTTGTTCTGTTGATGTAATGTATCATGTTTATTGATTTGCATATGTTGAACCATCCTTGAATCCCTGGGATAAGTTAAGTTCCATTTGATAATGATGTGTTATTTTTCTGATGTGCCGTTGGATTTAGTTTGCTAGTATTTTGCTGAGAATTTCTAAGTCTATATTCATTAGGAATGTTAGCCTATAATTGTCTTTTCTTTTCTTTTTTTTTTTGTGTTGTTGTTGTTTGAGATGGAGTCTTGCTCTGTCACCCAGGCTGGAGTGTAGTGGCGTGATCTCGGCTCACTGCAACCTCTGCCTCCCAGGTTCAAGCAATTCTTCTGCCTCAGCCTTCCAAGTAGCTGGGATTACAGATGCATGCCACCATGCCTGGCTAATTTTTGTATTTTTAGTAGAGACGGGGTTTCACCATGTTGGCCAGGCTGGTCTTGAATTCCTGACCTCATGATCCACCCACCTCGGCCTCCCAAAGTGTTGGGATTACAGGTGTGAGCCACTGCACCTGGCCTAGCATATACTTTTCTTTTTTTGTTGCATCCGTGTCTGGTTTTACTATCAGGATAATGCTGACTTCATAGAGTGATTTAGGGAGAATCCCTTTCTCTTCAATTTTTTGGAATAGTTTTAGGAGAATTGGTGTTAATTCTTTGAAAGTTTGGTAGAAGTTTGGTAGTGAAGCCATCCAGTCTTGGACTTCACTGGGAGACTTTTTATTACTGATTCAATTTCATTTCTTGTTATTGCTCTGTTCAGGTATTCTATTTCTTCCTGATTCAATCTAGTAGATTGTATGTGTGTAGGAATTTATCCATTTCCTCTAGGTTTTCTAGGTAGTTAGTGTATAGTTGTTCATAATAGTCTCTGGTGATCTTTTGTATTTCCATGGTATCAGTTGTAATGTCTCCTTTTTAATTTCTGATTTTGTTTGTGTCTTCTCTTGGTTAGTCTAGGAAGTGCTTTATCAATTTTATCTTGTCAAAAAAACAACTTTTTATTTCGTTGATCCTTTGTGGTTTTTTTTTTCTCTGATCTTTATTACTTGTTTCTTTCTACTAATTTTGGGTTTGGTTGGTTTTTGTTTTTCCAGTACCTCGAGGTGCACTGCTAGATTATTTATTTGAAATCATTCTACTTTTTCTGATGTAGGCATTTGTTACTATAAACTTCCATCTTAGCATTGCTTTTGCTGTATCCCATTTGGTTTTGGTATGTTTTTCAGTTTTCATTTGTTTTCAAGACTTTTTAAAAATTTCCTCCTTAATTTCTTTCTTGGCTCAGTGGTCAGTCAGGAGCATATTGTTTAATTTTCATGCATTCGTAGTTTCCAAAGTTCCTCTTGTTATTGATTTTGAGTTACATTCCACTGTGGCCTGAAAAGATACTTGAATGATTTTGATTTTTAAAAATTTGTTGTTGCTTGTTTTGTGTCCTAACATGTGGTCTATCTTGGAGAATGTTCTGTGTGCTAATGAGAAGAATGTGTGTTCTGTAACTGTTGTATGAAATAGTTCTGTAACGTCTGCTAGGCTTATTTGGTCTAATGTGCAGTTTCAATCCAATATTTCTTTGTTAATTTTTTGTCTGAGTGATCCAATGCCGAGAGTGGGGTGTTGAAGTCTTCAACTATTATTGTATTGCATTCTGTCTCTCCCTTTAGATCTAATAGTACTTGCTTTATCTAGTGCTCTGGTGTTGGGTGCTCTGGCGTTGGGTGCATATATGTTTGGAATTGTTATATCCTTTTGCTGAATTGATACTTTTATCATTATATAATGACCTTCTTTTGTCTCTTTTTACAGTTTTTGACTTAAAATCTGTTTTATCTGACATAAATAAAGCTACCCCTGCTTGCTTTTTGTTTCCATTTGCATGGGATATCTTTTCTTGTCCCTTTATTTTAGTCTATATGTGTCTTTACAGGTGAGATGAATTTTGTGTAGGCAGCATGTAGTTGGGTCATGTTTTTTTTTTTTTTTTTTTTAATTCATTGAGCCAGTCTGTATCTTTTGAGTGGAAAATTTAATCCATTTACATTCAAGGCTATTATTGATATGTGAGGTTTACCTCTGTCATTTTATTACTTGATTTCTGATTGTTTTGTATATCCTTTGTTTCATTCTTTCTCTCTTGTTGTTTATTATTGTGGTTTGGTGGTGATCTGTAGTGGTAACATTTAAGTTTTTTCTTTTTTTCTGTGTTTGCTCTACCAGTGGTTTTTATATTTTCATATGTTTTCATGATTATAGTTACTGTTCTTTCACTTCTGGGTGTAGGACTTCCTTAAGCATTTTTTACAGGACTGGTCTAGTGGTGATGAATTCCCTCAGCTTTTGCTTGTCCAAGAAATACTTCATCTGTCCTTTATTTATAAAGGATACTTTTGCTGCAAATAGTATCCTTGAATGGCAGTTTTTTTTCTCTTTCAGCACTTTGAATGTATCATCACATTCTCTCCTGGCTTGTAAGGTTTCTGCTGAGAAATCCGTTAGTCTGATGAGGGTTCCTTTGTGGGTGACTAGATGCTTTTCTTTTGCTGTTTCTAAATTTTTCTCTTTGTATTTGACTTTTGACAGTTTGACTGTAATGTACTGTGGAGAGGATCTTTTTGAATTTTATCTATTTGGGGATCATTGAGACTCTTGTATCTAGATGTCTAAATCTCTTTCTAGACTTGGGAAGTTTTCATCTATTGTTAAATAAGTTTCTGTTTGCTTTTTCTTTACCTTCTGGGACACCAAAAATTTGAATATTTGATTTATGATGTCCTATATGTTACAAAGCCTTTGCTGATTCTTTTTAATTCTTTTTTTTTTTTTTTTTAATCTTTGTCTCTCTGGGTTATTTCAAATGGTCTGCCTTCAAGTTTTGAGATTTTTTTCCTTTGGCTTCTCTAGTTATTATTGAAGCTTTTGAATTTGTTTTGTATTTCATTCAATGAATTTTTCAGTTACAGAATTTCTGTTTGGCTCTTCTTTATGATACCTGGTAAGGTTCGGCTATGTCTGCACCCAAATCTCATCTTCAATTGTAGTTCCCATAATCCTTACATGTCTTGGGCGGGACCTGGTGGGAGGTAATTGAATCGTGGGGGCAGTGACCCCCATGCTGTTCTCGTGATAGTGAGTGAGTCCTCACAAGATCTGATGTTTTTATGAGGGGCTTTTCCCCCTTTGCTGAGCACTTCTTCCTGCCTCTGTGTGAAGAAGAATGTGTTTGCTTCACCTTCTGCCATGATTGTAAGTTTCTTGAGGCCTCCTCAGCCATGCTGAACTATGAGTCAATTAAACCTCTTTCAGTTAAACCTCTTTCCTTTATAAATCACCCAGTCTTGGGTATGTCTTTATTAGCAGCGTGAGAAAGGACCAATACAATATCCATCTCTTGGATCAAATTTCTCATTCTTATCCTGAATTGCTTTTTAAATTCCTTTGTATTTTTCAGCATTCTCCTGTATGCTATTGAACTTCCTTACTATCAATATTTTGAATTATTTTCCTGGTATTCCATAAATTTCTTTTTGATTGGAATCTGTTGCTGGAGAATTGTTTTCTTTAGGAGATGTCATATTTTCTTGCTTTTTCATGTTTCCTGTACCCTTGCATTAGTATCTCTGTGGTATAATGGTCATTTCTTCTAAGTTTTTTGAATTTACTTTCGTAGGAGAGGACATTTTCCCGAAGATGTATCTGTGGTATTGGTAGGTAGGGCACTTTGGTTTTGAATCTGGGTGTGTGCAGTAGTGTAGTCTCTGTATGATTTCTTTGGCTGTAAACAGCATTAATGATATCTATGATTTTCTTAATGGCTTAGGGTATGGTTGTTAGTGGAGGCTGTGGTGAAATTTTGCTGTTGACCTGGGTGCCAGGTAGGCCAGTCTTTTGGCCCCAGTGGTGGCAGTGGTGGACTGAGCATGCCTGTCCTCAGGCCCCAGGGTGGTGTACACTGGCACCAGTGTTAGTAGGTCCAGGCAGGCCAGTTCTTGGGCCTCCAGGTGGCTTCTTTGGGTACTAGGAATGGCAGTGGTGGGTTGGGTGGGTGGGTGGGTTCCTGAGCCCCTGAGCAGCAGGTGTGGTGTGGTTGATGGCAACAGCAGTTGTGGTGTGGGTGATGGCAACAGCAGTGGTGGGACAGCCCTTTGGGGTCTTCATCTCTGGTAGCTTATGCTGGGCTGTTTTCCAAAGTGCTGATGTTTGTGACGGCTGTGACAGGTTGGGTGGGCTGGTCCTTGGACCTGCAGGTGGCACATATGGGTGGGTCGCAGCGGTGGTGGTAGCAGCAAGCTGAGTGGGCCTGACCCACTCTGGGAGACTCTGCTGAGATGCTACTGGTGATCCCCAGGCCCCTGGACAGTGTGATCTGGTTCTAGGGAGGGATGGTGGAGGCAGGCTGGCTGGACCTGCCCTCAGGTCCCTTGGTGGGGAGTGTAGTTATTGGCTGTGGTAAGTAGCATCGAGGTGATTCCTAGGCCTCCCGTGGAATGCTCAGGTAGGGGTGGCCAGAGTTTCATTGTGTCCCTGCTACTGGGGAGGGCAGGGTTTCTTTCCCTGGGAGCAGCTGTAGTCAGGCACCTAGGGGGCATGGGCTTTGATTGCACCTCACCTCAGGCCTGCAGCAGCTCATAGTGGTAGCAGTTGCAGGTAGTCGACTTTGACCTTGGAGCTCATGAAAATACATGGCTACCCATCTGCAGGGATGGTGTGGGGGATCACTCCCTGTGGCTCCCACCTCCACCCTGGTGGCGGGGCAGGCTGCAGTTCATTGGGGGTTGTACTCTCCAAGTGGTGCCATGCCACAGCAGCTTAGGATTTGGGGGGTTGTGGCACCCAGCGTGGGCTCTCTGTGGAGCAGTGCCTTTGTACAGTCTTCAGGCAGCTCTCCGCAGTAGTCTTGGGGTCCTCTAGAATTGAAGGACTCTCCCAGGGCTGTGGATTGTAGAAGTCCACAGCAGCAATGTGAACTGCTGGGAAGGGTCTTTCACTTACCCTTTCCCCCAATTAGGGAGCCACTGCTGACTCCCAGTTGATCCCAGCCTAGCAAGCTGCCTTGGTTTTCTTTCCTTCCTTGCTTTTGGTGTTTCTGAATGTTTCTTTGTTGAATTCCAAAGTTCTCTCTTAGGTTATCTATTTGAAGTGTGATTACTTGCTATTTTGGTTCTTCTCTGTGGAAGAGGTGAGCACCAGATCTGTCTAGTCAGCCATCTTGAAGCCTCAAAACCCTTTTTTTTTTTTTTTTGGACACAGAGTATCACTCTGTTGCTCAGGCTAGAGTGCAGTGGTGCAATCTCAGCTCACTGCAACCCCCTCCTCTCAGGTTCAAGCGATTCTTCTGCCTCAGCCTCCCCAGTAGCTGGGATTACAGGCGTGTGCCACCACGCCCAACTAATTTTTGTGTTTTTACTAGAGACAAGGTTTTGCCATGGTGGCCAGGCTGGTCTCGAACTCCTGACTTCAAGTGAAACACCTGCCTCGGCCTCCCAAAGTCCTGGGATTACAGACATAAGCCACCATGCCTGGTCTCAAAACATTTTTAATGAGAAGCACAGCATACCTAGAGAAAAGTACAGAAACATAAAAGTGAAGCTCAGAGAATAATTACAAAGGAACATTTGTTCACCACCACCCAGGGTGAGAAATGGCATGTTGCCTGCACCCAGGAAATGCGTGTGCTTCTTCCTCATCACTACCCACTCCCATTTTCCCATTTTTGAACATTATATAAATGAAACCATACTTTGATGTTGGCTTTTTCATTGAGCACTTTGCTAGTGAGGTCCATCGTGCTGTTGCATGTAGCTGTGGTTCATTTTCACTGCCACCTCGTAGGGTTTCTCAGCACTGCTGACGTTTCAGGCTTAATGATGCTCTGCTGTGGGGCTGCCCTGTTCACTGTAGGGATTTTAGCAGTCTTCCTGGTCTTTACCCACCAGATACCAATAGTGTCTCCCACTTGTGACAATCAAAAATGTTTCCAGATGTTCAGATTGCCCTCTGGGATGGCAAAATGCCCCTCGCCCTGGTTGAGAACCACTGCTCTATAGTACAGGTTGAATATCCCTTATTTGAAATGCTTGGGACAGGAAGTGTTTCAGATTTCAGATTGTTTTGGATTTTGGAATATTTGCATATCCATAATGAGATACCTTGGGGATAGGACCCAAGTCTAAACATGTTCATATGTATTTCATATACCTGTGATAGACATAGCCCGAAGGTAATTTTATATAGTACTTTTAGTAATTTTGTACATGAAACAAAATTTGTGTATGTTGAACCATCAGAAAGTAAAGGTGTCACTCTCTGAGCCGCCCATGTAGACATTCTGTGGTTGTTTGCATCACCATCATTCCTGACTCTGAATTTATAAGTGGCTGACAAGCAGTCATTTTCTCTCACTTATGCACACCTAAGTATTTAACAGTATTTACTGGCCCTCCATGGGGCAATGTGGGGAACCTGCCCTTGGTGCACTGGCCTGCACACACACCATTTTATTACCTTTGTGGGTGTGCTTGCATTGGGGAATCCGGGCCTGCATGGAAAAGACATCGCAGCCAAAGGGACCTGAACGGTCTCTTTTCCCTTGGTGACTCTGAATAAACTGTGTGTTGTGTGCCTGCCTTTTGATTGTAACCTGTCGTGTGAAGTCAGGTGTGGAATTTTTCACTTGTGTCATCATGTTGGCACTCAAAAAGTTTCCAACTTTGGAGCACTTTGGGTTTTGGATTTTCAGATTGATGATGCTCAACCTGTATTCTATTGTATGAATTTACCAGTTTAGTTATCCATTTTACTATTGATGCACATTTGGATTATTTCTAGTTATTGGCCTTTACAAATAGTACTTCTCTAACATTCTTGTACTTGTCGTTTGGTAAAGGACATGTGCATGTTTTCCTGTTGCGTTTATCTTTAGGAATGGAAGTTTGGGATCTATAGAAGTGCATGTCTTCACCTCTAGTAGTTTATGCTGGGCTGTTTTGCAAAGTGGTTATATCAGGTGTGAACATTTACCAACAGCAAAGGAGCGTTCTGGTTGCTTTTCTTTCTTGGAAACACCTGGTATTGTCAGAGATCTTCATTGTAGCCATTCTGTGGGGATGGAGGGCTGGCTCATTGTGGTTTTAATTTGCATTGTTTTTATGAGTTCTGAAGTGGAGCACCTTTTCCTGTGTTTACTGGCCATTTGGATATCCATTTTTGTCACAACCTATTCAGAGCTCTTGCCTTTTTTTCTTTTAGGTTGTCTGAATTTGTATATTCTGGATACAGAATCTTTTTTGATTTTATTAAAGTTGCGCATTTATTTTACCACTCCATGTCTTGCTTTATTTCTCTTAATGGTATGTTTTGATGAACAGAAGTTCCTGATTTGAATGTACTCTGAGTGCTTAATGTATCCTGTTAAGAAAATGTCTGCTTACCTCAAGGTCATGAATATATCTGCCTATATTTTCTCCTCGGTTTCTCTTTTTGCCTTTTGCATTTATCTTTGGGCATGCTCTGTGATAGGGGTCAAGTTAAGCGTTCCCCAGGGTTCTCACAGACCCAGCACTGACTGCGGAGGGCACTGTGCTTTCCCCACTCTCCTCGGTGCCCACACGTGTGTGGGGTCTGTGTCTGTGCTCTCCATTGCACTCGGCCAGTCTCCCATCCTGCAGTGCTACATTGCCTCTTGTCAAGATGGATAAGTTTTTGATACCTAGAACGAACATTGTTTTTCTTCAAAAAATGCCTTCACTATTATTGTCTCCTTTCCATATAAATTTTAGAATCTGCCTGTCAAATTCCACAAAGGACACCGTGTTGATTTTGATGGAAATTTCATGGAATCTGTAGATCAGTTTGGAAGAATTGACGTTTTTAGAGTGTTGAGACCTCCAGTACATGACATGATACATTTCTTCACTGCTTAGGGCCGTCTTTCTCTCAACAGGGTATTGTAGTTTTCTGAATGGAGGTCTTCAATATCTTTAATCAGATTTACACTTAGTAGTAGTCCTCCTTCTTTCTAATTACATAATTAGAAACAGTGTCTATCACTAAACATCACTAATTCACTCACCACTACGTGCCAGGTCCTGTTCTAGGCACTGAGGCCACAGCAGCAAGCCAGACAGCCCCAAGTCCTTGCCTTCATGGAGCTAGCCAGTGAGGAGAGACAGCAGCGCCAGTAAAGCAGCGCAGGGCACTGTGGACTCTGTGATATTTAATGCCATGGAGGGTAAAGGGCGGGAGACCTGAGAGGGGTAGCTTTTGTGTTTTAATTTTAGAGTGGTCATGGAAGACCACTGAGCGGTTGACATCCACACGAAGATCTGAAAGAAGAGGGAAGTGAGCTCTTTTTTTTAAGGCAATTTTATAACTTTATTTGATGTATTTGATGATCAGCTGTTAGTTCTCATCCACATTGACTGTCTATAGATTTTTGAAAGCAGTAACGGGTACATAAGTAATCAAAGTATAGAGTTTATTTGGTGAATCTTCATTCTCTTTACATTTTCTGGACAACCGCACACGGATGCGGTATGGGATATTCCTTATTCCTTTGGTCCAGACAGCTTTGTTGAGCCTGGTATCAATGCACATATCTGGAGTTCCCATCTCCTTCATGGCAAATTTCCAAATCTCTTTGAGTGCCTGAGGGGCACGCTTCTTGAAGGCCACTCTGTGGATGTGCTGTGAATGTTGATGGCGTATCTCAGGTCACCACCTTGTTGATGGTAGAACGGCCCTTTTTCTTCTCGCCACCCTTTGTAGGAGCCATTCTGCCAGGCCCAAGTTGGAAAGGAAGCGAAGCAAGCTCTTAGGGTGTCTGGGAAGGCACGTTCCAGCCAGAGGGATCAACATGTACAAGCGCCCGAGGTGGGGTGTGTTAGCAGAGCCAGAGGCCCATGTGGCAGGCATGGGGTGTTGGAGGAGAGCATGGGGGTGGGGTGAGGCTTTAGTTTGTGTAATTTGGAAATTACTGTTTATGGAATGCCTACTATCTACCAAGTGTGATAGACAGTTTTGCTGGTATCTCCTCCTTTATTTAGTCTTTATAATAGTGGTGTAGAGAATTTAAAACCAGTTTATAGATGAGAAAACAAAGGCCTAGCAAGGTGACATGGCTTTGCCGAGGGGCTGCTGGTGAGTGACTCCAGAGTCTGTGTTTGCGCCTCCACATGGTGCTGCACACTCAGTGTGCCTCATGTGTTATTATAGTTTATGCATTTAATGTGTGAGTTTTAGAAAAACAGACAATTAGCAGATAAGTAAAGATAGATTTGTTTATTGTCATTTGAAGGTGTGGTTGACAATAGGGCCCTGTGAGCATGTGCCTGAGGAGCCCACCAGCAAGTACCAAGGAGCCAGCATAGCTGTCAGGGTGTCCTCCAGGCCGAGTTTGGTGAGTTTTCTTTGTGTTAGCATGAGTGCCCATGTCTGAGAAATGTGGCACTGGGAAATCAATGCCTGCGACAAGAGCTATCACAAGGGCATGTGGAGCTAGGGTGTCTCAGTGCCATCTCCTTGTTCTCAGTTAGCTGTGACTTAACTCTGAGTGCCATTTTGTTTTTCCCTCCCTTCCCCTTCCCACTGGGTGTGAGCGTGGGACATATGAAAACCCTCTTACCATTGTGGGGAACTAGTGTCCTGAGGGACCCAGTTTGGGAAACATTGAGCTACCTTGATGTTGACAGTGAGTGTGACATGGAGAATAGGAAGGGGCGGTGAAGAGAAGTATGGGCAAGGAGGGAGTTTGTAGACCTTGCTTCCTATCAGACAGATGCCCGTGCCTGGTGGAGCCTTCTTTCTAAGGAACCTAAGTCAGCGTGCACCAGCTTTAGGATAAGATGTTTCAGTTTGGCTGTGTGTATAAAGAAATGGGATTTTAAAGTTCCTCATCATTTTATTGAAGCATGGTTACATCTTTACCTCTCATTCTGAGTTTTCTCCCCAAATCCCTGCAGAGAGTAGGGAAGAATGTTGCCTGCCAGTAATGATAACCAGTCATTGCCCAGCAGTACATCCTCTGTCCAGTGGCTGGGCCTGCAGTGGATGCCTGTGAATTGAACTGGCACAGCTGGTAGACTCAGTTGCTTCTCAGCTGTTCAGCGTGGATTGGTGCAGTTATTTAAGCCTAGCCACAGGCACAGTTCCTGCCAGATGCTGCTGCTGCTGATAGATGTGACTGAGTGGCCGTATGCTTACCAGAAGCATTTGTCCATGGCAGAGACCTGTGACTTGAGACCTTCCAGCTGGAGGCCATCAGCCAGGGGAGCTTTCCGAGTGCCTGGTTGAGATTGTTTCAGTGTTCAGAGTTGTTGGTGGCCCTCTTGTTACGCTGGCTGCTCCAGGTCACCAGCGTAGATTCTCTGCCCCATACTCCTTCCCACTCACAAATGGTTTAATGAGCGAGCACATTAACAAAAAAAATCTGTCTACTGTTGGGAGGAAACGTGGTGAGATACAGGCAGGGTTTTCATGTCCATCCAAGCTCTTGATAGAACTTTGTGAGGAGAAAATAGCCCCAGAATGTCAAGAGGGGACTAAACTGAGAAACTGTAGAAGAAACCAAGCAGAATGTAATTTTATTTATTTTCATTTGCCAGAGCTTTAATAGTGAAATAGTGCTTTATTGGGGTTTGTTTTCTGTGTGGCTCCATTCCTGTGATTTTCAAGAATAAGCAGAACTAATCTAGGGTGGTAGAAACCAGAGCATCAGTCACTTATGGGTTGGGCTGCCTAGAAGGGACAGGAGGGCATGAGGGAGCTTCATGGCAGGGGGAGAGACACACTGTATCTTGACAGAGCGATGTTTTTTGTGGTGCATGCATTTCTGTTAGACCTTAATTTTACTCATAAGATTTATGCAGTTTACCCTATGTAAATTTTAACCTTATTTTGACATCCAGATTTTTTTTTTTTGAGACAGCCTTGCTCTGTCACCCAGGCTGGAGTGCAGTGGCATGATCTCAGCTCACTGCAACCTCCACCTCCCAGGTTCCAGCAATTCTCCCACCTCAGCCTCCAGAGTAGCTGGGACTACAGGTGCCCAGCTAATTTTTGTATTTTTGGTAGAGATGGGTTTCACCATGTTGGCCAGGCTGGTCTCAAACTCCTGACCTCAGGTGATCTGCCCACCTCAGCCTCCCAAAGTGCTGTGATTACAGGAGTGAGCTACCATGCCTGGCCCCACTTTATAGAAAAGTTGGAAAAATAGTAGCAAGTAACTCTCACCCAGCTTCCCCTAATGTTAGCATCTTACATAACCATAGAACAGTTACCAAAACCACAAAATTAACATTGGTATGATATTTTTAGATAATCTTTAGCTCTTGTTAGAATTTTTCTATTTTTCTCACATCATTTTTCTAAAAATGGCTTTATTGAGATATAATTTGCATGCTGTAAAGTTCATTCATAATACACAATTCAGTGGTTTTTAGTATGTTCACAGAGTTGTGCAAGCATTACCATTGTCTAATTTTAGAATATTTTCATTGCCACCAATAGAAACCCCCATACCTATTAGCAGTGACTCCATCCCTGGCAATGACTAATCTGCTTTCTGTCACTATGGATTTGCCTATTATGAACATTTTATAAAATTAGTGTTGTACAGTATGTGGCTTTTTGTGTCTGGCTTAGTGTGTTTTCAGAATTCATCTATGTTGTATCATGTGTCAGTACACCATTCATTTTTATGACCTAATATCCCATTATGTGTATATACGACATTTTGTTCGCCCATTCATCATTTGATGGACGTTGGGTTATTTCCACTTTTTGGATGTTATGAATCATGCTGCTAGATTAACATTCCTATACAAGATTTTGTGTGGTCTAGCCATTCTTGTAGAGTAGTGTGATAGTCTGTTTTTTTTTTTGTTGTTGTTTTTTTTTGCTCAGGATTGCTTCAGCTATTTGGAGTCTTTTGTACTTCCATTATGAATTTCAGGATTGTTTTTTCTGTTTTTTTTTTTTTTTTGTGAAGAATGTCATTGGTATTTTGGCAAGGATTGCATTGATTCTGTAGATTGCTTTTGGTAGTATGGTCATTTTTACAATATTTATTGTTCTAGTTTATGAACATGGGATGTCTTTCCATTTGTTTGTGTCTTCAGTTTCTTTCATCGGTGTTTTATAGTTTTTCTTTTTGAGATCTTTTACTTCATGTTTAAATTTGGTTAAATTTATTCCTAAATATTTTTTGTAGCTATTGTAAATGGGATTGCCTCACTGATTTATTTTTGAGATTGTGTTATTGGTGTATAGAAATGCTGCTGAATTTTGCATGTTGATTTTTGTGTTCAGCAACTTTCTTTATTGAATTCATTTATTTTAACAATTTTTGGTGGACCTTTTAGAGTTTTCTGTGTATACAATAATGTTGTCTGTAAACAGGGACAATTTGACTTCCTCTTTTCCAATTTGGATGCCCTTTATTTATTTTTTTCTTGCCTAATTGCTCTAGCTGGGACTTACAGTACTATCTTGAATAGGAGTGGTGATGGTGGGAATCTTTGTCTTATTCCAGATCTTAGAAGAAAAGCTTTCAGCTTTTCCCTGTTCATTATGATGTTGGCTATGGGTTTGTCATATATGGCCTCTATTGTGTTGCTTCTGTACCTAAGTTATTAAGAGTTTTTGTCATAAAGCGATGCCAGATGGTATTAAATGCTTTTTCTTTATCTGTTGAGATGACCATATGGTTTTTGCACTTAATTCTATTAATATGTTGTATAATATCTGTTGATTTGCATGTGGTGAACCATGCTTGCATCTCTGGCATAAATCTTTTTTGATCATGGTGAATGATCTGTGTAATATGCTGCTGTATTTGGTTTGCTAGTGTTTTGTTGAGAATTTTTGCATCCGTGTTTATCATGGATGTTGGCCTGTTGTTTTTGTTGTTGTGTCCTTATCTGGTTTTGGTATCAAGGTAATGTTGGCCTTATAGCATAAGTTTGGAAGAAGTCCTTCCTCCTCAATTTTCTGGAAGAGTTTGAGAAGAATTGGTATCAGTTCTTTAAATGCATGGTAGAATTCTACAGTGAAGCCATCCCATTCTGGGCTTTTCTTTAACAGATTGAATCTTGTTACTTGTAACTGGTCTCTTCAGGTTTCTGTGTCTTCTTTGTTCTTCTTGGTCGGTTGTATGTGTCTGGGAAGTTATCCATTTCCCCTAGGTTTTCTAATTTGTTGGAATAGAGTTCTTTTTAATAGCCTCTCATGATCCTTTCTATTTATGTAATATCAGTTGTTATGTCTCCTTTTTCATTTCTGATTTTATTGATTTGGGTCTTTTCTCTTTTTCTTGGTTCCTCTAGCTAATGGTTTTTGATTTTTGTTTAACTTTTCAAAAAACCAACTTTTTGTTTTGTTGATATTTTGTATTGCTTTTTACTCTTAATTTTGTTTTGTTTTTGAGACATGGTCTTGTTGTCACTCAGGCTGGAGTGCAGCGGTACAATCACTGCTTACAGCAGCCTTGACCTGCTGGGGCCAAGCAATCCTCCCACCTTAGCCTCCTGAGTAGCTTGCATTATAGGCACACGCTGCCACACCTGACAAGTGGGTGTTTTTGTTTGTTTGGTAGAGACGGGGTCTCGCTTTGTTACCCGGGCTCGTCTTGAATACCTGGGCTCAGGTGAGTCTCCCATCACCGCTTTCCAGAGTGCTGTGATTACAGGCATGAGCCATCACATCTGGCCTTAATTTTATTTATTTCTTCTCTGATCTTTATTATTTCTTTCCCTGTACTAGTTTGGGGTTTGGTTTGTTCTTGCTTTTGTATTTCCTTGAAATACATTATTAGCTTATTTATTTAAAATCTTTCCACTTTTCTGATGTAGACATTTATTGCTCTAAATTTCCCTCTTAGCACTGCTTTTGCTATATCCTATTGGTTTTGATATATTGTGTTTTGATTTTCATTTGTTTCAATTAATTTTAAAATTTTCCTCTTGATTTTGTTGTTGACTCATTGATTGTTCAGGAGCAGGTTGTTTAATTCACACATACTTGCCCAATTTTGAAAGTTCCTTATTGTTGATTTCTAGTTTTATTCCACTGTGGTCAAAAAAGATACTTGCTATAATTTTAATTATTTTAGATTTGTTGAGACTTGTTTTGTGTCCTAACATGGTCCACCCTGGAAAAGGTTTTGTGTGCTGATAAGAAGAAAGTGTATTCTGTAGCTGTTGGATGAAATGTTCTGTAAACATCTGTTAGGTCCATTTGGTCTAATGTGTGGTTAAAGCCAAAGTTTCCTTGTTAATTTTATGTCTAGGTGATCTGTTCCATGTTGAGAGTGGGGTGTTTAAATTTTTAACTATTATCATATTGGAGTCTATCTCTCCCTTTAGATCTAATAACATTTGCTTTATATATCTGGGTGCTGTAGTGTTGGGTGCATATATGTTCAGAATTGTTATATCCTCTTGCTGAATTGATCTTTTTAACATTATATAATGACCTTCTTTATAGTTTTTGACATAAAATCTATTTTAACTGATATAAATAAAGCTACCCCTGCTTGCTTTTGGTGTTCATTTGTGTGGAATATCTTTTCTTTATCCCTTTGCTTTCAGTCTATATGTGTCTTTACAAATGACATGAGTTACATGTAGGCAATATGTAGTTTGCTTTTCACTGGGGTCTGTTACTAGAGAGTTAATATTTTTTCAAATTAATTCAGCTAGTCTATGTCTTTTAAGTGGGGGAATCTAATCTGTTTACATTTAATTTTATTAGTGATAGGTAAGGACTTACTCCTGTCATTTTGTTGTTTTGCAGTTGTTTTGTATAGTCTTTGTTTCCTTCTTCCTATCTTGTTTTTTATCATTGAGGTTTAGTGAGGTTTTTTAATGATAAGGCTTGATTCTTTTCTCTTTCTCCCTTGTGTATCTGCTGTACCAGTATGTTTTATACTTTTGTGGGTTTTTAAGAGAGTGTTTATCATCTTTTCACTTCCAGATGTAGGATTTCCTTGAGCATTTCTTGTAAGGCCAGTCTAGTAGTGACGAATTCCTTTAAGTTTTTGCTTGTCTGGGAAAGACGTTATGTCTCCCTCATTTCTGAAGGATAACTTTGCTGGGTATAATAATCTTGGCTGCCAATTTTATTCTGCCATCATTTTGAATATTACATCACATTTTCTTCTGGGCTGTAAGGTTTTTGTGGAGAATTTTATGCTAGTCTAATGAAGATTCCTTTGTATGTGACTTGATGCTTTTATCTTGCTGCTTTTATAATTTTATCTTTGTGTTTGATTTTTGACAATTTGGCTACAGTGTGCCTGGGGAATAATTTTTTTTGGTTGAATCTATTTAAGGACCTTTAAACTTCCTGGACCTGGATGTCCATATGTCTTCCCAGACTTTTGAAGTTTTTGGCTATTATTTAAGTAGGATTTCTATACCTCTTCCCTTATCTCTCTTCTCCTTCTATAATTCTCATTATATGAAATTCATTTGCTTAATAGTGTCCCATAAGTCTTGCAGACTTTCTTCACTCTTTTTCATTCTTATTTCTTTCTTTCTCCCCTCTGAGTGGGCAGTTTCAAATGACCTGTCTTCATATTCAGAGATTCTTTCTTCTGCTTGATCAAGTCTGCTGTTGAAGCTCTCTATTGTATTTTAAATGTAATTCATTGAATTCTTCAGCTTCAGGATTTGTTTAGTTCTTTCTTATGATTTCTGACTTTTTGTTGAATTTCTTGTTTGGATCATGAATTCCAGATTTTGTTGAATTGTCTATATGTATTTTCTTGTGTCTCATTGAGTTTCCTTAAGATCATTTGGAATTTTTCTTTTTGGCAGTTCACTGATTTTCTCTTTGATGGGGTCTTCTATTCCTAGAAAGTTATTATGTTCCTTTGGTGGTGTCCTATTTCCTTGCTTTTTGATGTTTCTTGTGTCCCTGCATTGATGTCTGTACATATGGTGGAATAATTGCCTTTTCCAGATTTTCTAGCATGGCTTTTGTAGAGAGAGACTTTTACCTGAAATTGGGTTTTAGTGTGCCATTTAGGAAAGGTGTAGTGACTGTTGCTGGTTAGGTGCAGTGGTATAGTCTCCATGAACCTTTTTCAGCTGTGTTCAGTGTTAGCCTCAGTGGCCCAGGCTATAGAAGTTTGTTACAGTGGTGGTGACAGTGTAAGTTGTTAATGTCCTTGGTATCAAGGGCTTTTGGGGTCCTCCTGGTCTCATTTTCCTTGCAATGGGGAGACTTAGCTGAGGGGAATTCCTTTGATGTCTGCTCTGACATGGCCTACAAGCAGCTGCCATGGTGCTGGGTTCCAGGTGTAGGTGCTTGTAATGGTTGCAGGGCTGGGTTGCGACCCCTATTGTGGCATGTGGGTCTTGGGGTACAGGTTTGCTCTCTTATGGCAGGGTTGGATTTAGGTGGCCCTCAGAGCCAGGATCTGTGACTCTGAGGCACCCTCTAGCAGCTCGGGCCCAGGGGGCCAGGTTGTAACTGTGATTCTACCCCAGGGGGTGGGGCAGGGTACAGCACTGGCGGAACTCTGAGGAAGAAGGGGTGCTCTGGGGGCTTGGGCCTGGGGAGCCAGGGTATGGCTGCAGTTCCGGAACCGGAGCCAACAGGGCTCAGTGGCAGCTCCGGTCCCAGGGGATGTGACACTGTGTAATAATGACTCAAGACCCTGGGATGGTGGGGCTTGTAAGTATCCCAGACTCTGTGAGGCCATGTGTGGCAGGAGAACGTACCCCAGAATGACAGAGCACACCTGTCACTGGGGCCCTGAGGAGGGTGGGAAGCAGCGTATCCATGACTCCACTCTGCAGGGAGAGAGGTGTCTCAGCAGCTCAGACTGGGGTGGGGGGCTAGTTCAGCTCTAGGGAAGCAGGCAGTTGAGTTGTTTGGCCTGTAAGGTGGGATGTCTGGGCTCAGCTACTGCTCTGTTTCTCTGGGATGTAGGGCACTGCATCAGCTCAGCCCTGGGATGTGCAGCTGCTCAGCTCAGCCAGGGCACTGATTCCCCTTGCGGTGGTGTGTCGCTTCCACTCAGGCCTGAGGGACGGGACTGTCCTGGGTGGCCCAGGCATTTCCCTGGATGCAGAGTGCTTCTTCAACTTGGGTTCCAGGAGGCATGACTGCTCTGAGCAGCCAAGGTATTGTTTTCCCTGGAGGCCGTTTATGGCTTTAGCTCCAGCCTGAGGGGGCAAGAGCGGGTAGTGGAGTGGCCCCACCTTTGCTTGGCCCCACAGAGGAGGTGTAACAGCTGCCTGCAGCTTGGCTGGGGGATGTGGGGCCACTGGGCTGGGGTGGTTGGGCAGCGGCTTAGCTTCAGGGGTGAAGGGGAGCTGGGGCTGCTACCCCAGGAACAAGATACACTCCAGCAGTAGTTCCAGTTCCAAGAGGGCACCGTGAGGGCCACGGGGGCAGGCACAGTGTCGATTCCTTCTCCGGCGGGAGCACAGTGGTGTGGCCTCCAGGCAGCTCACTCCACCCTGGGCTTCGTGCCTGTGAGGACTGCAAGGGACCCCAAGGGTGAGGGCGGTGGGTGTCCACGGTGTTGGTGGGGGCTGCTGGGGTCCTCTTGATTACCTCCTCACTGAAGGGAGGTGTTTTCCTGGGTTCTAGCTGACCCTGGTTAGGGGATGGGGTGCCAGGGGCCCGGCATTTCCTTCTGTTCTTTTTGTGACTATCATGAATTTCTGGGCTCGCCAGGGTTTCTGTTACTCCTCTAATGCACTTTAGCACTCTCCCTCAGTTGTTTTTGTTAACATGTAGTTGTGTATTCATTGTTCTGGCTGTCTCTGTGAGGGGGTTGAATGCTAGGCACTTCTAGCTGGCTATCTTGATAATGTTACCCAGAATGGGTAGTTTCTGTCGTCCTATCTTCCAATTTACTGATTTTTTTTTTTTTTTTTTGCCTCTGTCCCCTCCATTCTGTCTTCACCAAGATTTTAATTTCAGTTATTTTATTTTTTCTGTTTTAATTTTTCCATTTTGGTTTTCTTTATATGTTGTTTTTTTCTCATTGGTTTCTAGCACAGTTGCTCACTAAAGAAATTTTTTGATGGCCGATTTAAAACCACCATAAATCATATCAGATAATTTGAACATCTGTGTCATCTTTCTGCTGATGTCAGGCAATTTTCTTTTTCATTTAAGTTGCCTCATGTGTCTTTAAACCCAAAGTTCAGCCATGACTATCGTAAATGTTCTCAGTCTCAAGTAATGAGGCTTTTCATGATTAGACCTGAGCTCTGTGTTATTCTTCTACCTATGTTGTGAGCAGAGTTTTGGTGCGTTATCAGCCATTCACATTCTTTTCGTCTGTGTTCCCCTCAAAGGCTGTCACCCTGCTGTAGTGTTTTCCTTATGATGACGTCCTCATGAAGTTGTTCCATGTTTTCCTTAGGATGATGTCCTCATGAGGTTGTTCCATTTGGGTTGTGCCCTTGACAGCATTTGTCTCATGGATAAAGTGGCCTGTTTTATTTTACCCTTTCAGGGGGCTCACATAGCTATCTCTTCAGCTTGACTAGTGATGCAATTTGTCCAGAAATTTCCTTATCATTTGTGTCCCTTGTATCCCATCAGCCTTAGCCACATAAAATAAATCCTTTCCATTCATTTAGCAAATATTTACTGAGCCCTTACTGTAAGGTGGTGAACAACACAGCCAATGTTCTGCTTTCATGAAGCTTTCAGACTAAGGAAGAACACTTATTCCTATTTCATAGAATAACTATTATTGAGAGAACTAAAATAGGTTAATGGGCTTGACAATGAGTGGGCGATAAGGGATGGCCTCTGTGAGGAGAGAATATGTAAGCTGAAATGTGATTCTTTTCTGGAATTTCCATTTCTGTTTATATTATACATCTGTTCTTTCATATTTCTACTTTGCCATTAGAATTTGTTATATATTGAATTGTGTTCTCCCCCTCCCCACCCCCCATTTATATGTTGAGGTTCTAACCCTCAGTCTCTCAGAATGTTAATGTATTTAGAGATAGGGACTTTTCATTAGAGTAAAATTGGGCCATTAGGGTGGACCCTAGTCCAGTGAGACTGGTGTCTTTATAAGAAGAGAAGATGAAGATACATGGAGAAACCCCAGGGGCCTGTGTGCACAGAGGGATGACCACATGAAGAGGCAGCAAGAGGGTGGCGTCTGCAAGCCAAGGAGGGAGGTCTCAGAGGAAAGCAGGCCTGCTGAGAACTTGATCTCAGACTTCCAGCCTCTAGAGACTGTGAGAAAATAAATTCATGTTGTTAAGCCACCCAGTTTGTGGTATTTTGTTATGGCAGGCTGGGCAAACTAATACAAAGCCATTAGCATATTAATCATAGATATTCTGAATTCCCTATCTGATACTTCTAAAATCTGTCATCTGTGCAGCTGGTTCTGATGCTTGGTTTGTCTCGTCAGACTGTGATTTTTCTTTCCTTTTAGAATGCCTTGCAATTTTTGGTTGAAAGCTGGACATGATTTATTGTGTAATGGGGACTGAGGAAAATAGGCCTTTAGCGTGAGGTGTTTTGGTAATCTGGCTAGGAGTTGGGCTGTGTTTACTGTAGGGGACAGAGGCTTTATACTCTTCTAGCATCCTTGTTTATTCTCCCCTCTTCCCTTTGGGTTTCCCTAAGAATTCCTCCTTAGATGGAATTGATGTCTTTCAGCTCTCTCAGCTATAATACCGTTTTAAAAATCCCTGTTGCGTGTTATGCTCTCTCATCTCTGTTGGTATGATTTAAGGTGTGTGTGGAGAGGAGAAGTATTTATCATCTCAATCTTTTAGTGGGCCTGTGTCTCTGGGCTTTGGTCTTCAAAAGTGTTTCTTAACCCCCTCCCCTGCTTAGGTAAGTCAGGGATGGCAGAGAGGCCTGGAGTGGGAGAAAAGCCCTTCCCTTTAGGTGAGATAAGGCTCTGGTGAGGTCTTTCCCTGGAAACAGGGTGTATTCATAATGGCTACTCTTCCTGTCCCCCTGCCAGAGCCACGAGGGAGCTTTCTTCGCACTTTGAGAACCTCATGGGGTTCCTAGAGACAAAATCCACAAAAATATGGGGCCCCCCTAAGACTGCGACCCCCAGGAGTTCCTGATTCTCATGGTTGTCCACCCTCAGCTTCCAACAATTTGTCATTTAAATGTTCCCACCGGTATGGCTACAGCAGCTTTTCCTCCAGGGAAGCAGATCTTGTTGTGACTCTCCAGATTTCATGGTGGCCTTAATTCTTTGATGGGTCCAAGAAAAGTCATTGATTTGTTTGTTCTGCTTTTCTTAGTGAAGGATGGAAGTGCTGATTTCTAAGCTCTTTGCATTGTTGACAAAAAGTGTCAAACTCTGTAAAATATTTGAAGGGATTTATTCTGAGCTAATTATGAGTGACCATAATGAGGGCCTGTGACACGGCCCTCAGGAAGTCCTGAGAACATTCAGCTCAAGGTGGTTGAGGTACAGCTTGGTTTAATGTATTTTAGGAAGGCATGAGACATCAATCAAATATGTTTAAGAATTACGTTGGTTTAGTTTAGAAAGGTGGACAACCCAAAGCAGGGGCTTTCAAGTGATAGGTAAATTTAAACATTTTCTGGGTGACAACTGGTTGAGGTTGTCTGAAGACCTAGGATCAATGGAAAGGAATGTTCAGGTTAAAGATAAAGGATTGCGGAGACCAAGTTTTATTGTGCAGAGGAAGCCCGTAGATAGCAGACTTCAGAGAGAGCAGGTTGTAAATTGTTTTTTATCAGACCTAAAAGGGTGCCTGGCTCTTAATTGATTATCTCCTGGATCTGCAAAGAAAGGAAGGAAAATAAAAGAGGAAGGGGATTCTCTGTAGAATGTGGATTTTTCCCACAAAAGACTTTGCAGGGCAATTTCAGGGCATGGCAAGGAAATATATTTTGGAGTTAAATATTTTGTCCTTGTCTCATAATGTTATGCCAGAGTCAGATTGAAAAGTAAGTCACAATATATAGGGTCAAATACAACTCATCTGATGAGAATCCATGGTTTGTAGGGCATGACTCCCCAGACCCCTTAGGTAGGAATTTGGGCAAGATTTAAAAAATCGGAGCTTAGTTCTCAGCATGTTGGAGCTGGAATTGCTCTACTGAGTGAGATTTGAAAGGAGCAAGACATGTGAAGATTGGGGCAGGAACATTCTGGTTAAGAAAATGCAGAGCAGGCTGGCGCTCCTGGGGCATGGTGCAGATGGATGAGTGATACGAGGGGAACGCCGGGAAGCAGGAGGGCTTGATCTGGCGGGGCTTCATCAGCCAGAACGAGGACTTGGGTCTCCATCATGAGTGCAGTGAGGATCTGTGGGAGAGCAGGGAAGGTGTGTATTCTGATTTCTGTTTAAAAAGTTTAAAATACAAAAATTAGCTGGGCATGGTGGCATGTGCCTGTAGTCTCAGCTACTCGGGAGGCTGAGGCAGGAGAATCACTTGAACCTGGGAGGCGGAGGTTGCGGTGAGCTGAGATCATGCCACTGCACTCCAGCGTGGGCAAGAGAACCAGACTCTGTCTCAGACAAAGAAAGAAACAAACAAACAAACAGTTTAATTCTAGCTGCAGCATGGCAGATGGATAGGGGTAGGAAGAGGCAAGAATGCAAAATTAAATAAGCAAGCCACCAAGAAGGCTATTACAGTAGTCTGGGGGAAGCAGGATAGCTTAGACTAGGGTGGTGGTTATGGGCTTAGGGCGTGTTGGGAGGTAGAGTTGATAAGATGTGATGTGAGAGAAGAGACGAATCAATAACAATACCTGCCATCTTTGGGTGGGTAAATGGTAATGCTGTTTACTGAGAATACCTGCATCTTTGGGTGGGTAAATGGTAACGTTGTTTACTGAGATGGGGAAGATGAGGCAGGAGCACAGAGAATCAGGAGTTGGGTGTTGGCCTTGTGAAACCTGAGTTGGCAGTAAATTCCCAAGGGGAGTTGTCCAGGCAAGTTTTTGTGGCTATGAAGTCTGGAATTCCAGGGAAAGGCTGGGGTTGGAGAAATGGATTTAGAGTCACTGGTAGATACATGGGATTTGAAGTCATGGAGTAGACGAAGTCACCTAAGGAGAGTAGAAAGAGAAGGAAGCCTAGGACAGAGCCCTGGGCTAGCATCTAAAGGAGAAGTATAAGGAGGGACTGGTGAAGGAGTGCTATGGAAGCCAAGAAAAGCCAGAGGAGTCAAGTGAGACGAAAGCTGAGCAGTGACAACATGGAGGACATTGGTGACCTTGAGAGAAGCTGTCTCAGCAGTGAGCAGATGGTAGCGTGACTGAAGGGTGAAGGTGAGGTGGGGCGGTAGCAACAACAGACCACTCTTGTAATATTCCTGGGAAGGGAGTCAAGAACTGGGCAGAACTGGAGGCCAGTTTGGGGTCAAGGAAGATTTTTTTTTTTTTTTTGCCTTCTTGTTCTTTGAAGCTTGTAAGAATGGGCTTATGTTGCTGCTCGATGACTCCATGTTCCTAGGTGCTCAAGGAGCCTGGGGCATTGCCTAAGATGTGGCTGACATGGTCCAGAATCCATATGTGCTTTGGAGGTGGCCAGGAAGCCCATAGGAGGAGGGAATGCTCAGTGTGTGCCCTGAGAGCTTTGCCACTGTCAGAAAGCACCTGACAGGAACAAGTTTGATTGTATTTGACACATGCCGGCACTACCACAGAAAGTTTTAGCAACAGATAAGAGGGGACATCTGTACTCTCAACTTCTTTTTTCATACTTCCTATTGAAGTTTTCATCTCTACTCTCAGGCATTTAATTTCTAAGACTGCTGTTTATTTTTAATTGTCTTAAAAAATAGCATCCCATTCTTGTTTAACAGATGATATAGCTTCTTTTACCTCCTTGAGGAAGATATTAATAATAGTTTTTTAAAACTTTTCTTCTCACTGCACAATCTCTTTTCTTTGTCCTCCTTTTGTTCCTGTTTAAAATGATAGCCATTTATCTTTTTCTCAGGTGTCTGGTGATGTGTGGTTGTCTGGTCATGTTTAACAGTGGGATTTATAATGCCGATTGGAAGCTGTGAGCATATGGGTGGAGCTTCTGAACTTTTCTGCAGTGTGAGCTGGTGCATCAATTAATTGGGAACCCATAGGTCAGTATCTTCGACTGTGTTGTCTTGGGTTGTTCAGATTGTCTGGAGAAGACTCACCCACCCTTATTTCTGGAGGGATGAAGGCCTATAAACTCCGGAAACAAAGTAGAGATAGAGGGAATGTCTTAGAGCTTGTAGGTATGTGTTTATCTAATCCACATGTTTTCCAGACAGAACCTCCATCCTCAATTGTGCCTGATGTTTCACCTCCAGAGATTCTTTAGAAAATAAATGTCCAGGCCAGGTGGGGTGGTTCACACCTCTAATCCCAGCACTTTGGGAGGCTGAGGTGGGCGGATCACCTGAGGTCAGGAGTTCGAAACCAGACTGGCCAACATGATGAAACCCCGTCTCTACTAAAAATATAAAAATTAGCTGGGTGTGGTGGCAGGTGCCTGTGATCCCAGCTACTCAGGATGCTGAGGCAGGACAATCACTTGAACTGGGAGGCGGAGGTTGCGGTGAGCTGAGATTACGTCACTACACTCCAGCCTGGGTGACAGAGTGAGACTCTGTCTCACAAAAAAAAAGAAAAGAAAAGAAATGTCCAGTCTCTACTAGGGAAGGGCATTTTTCCAGAGGCAGGGAATAGGGGAGAGGGTCCAGGGATCTAATTTCTTATTATTATTTTTATTTTTTTTTAGTTTTGAGATGCAGTCTTAACTCTGTCGCCCAGGTTGGAGTGCAATGGCGTGATTTCAGCTCACTGCAACCTCTGCCTCTGGGGTTCAAGTGATTCTCCTGCCTCAGCCTCCCAGGTAGCTGGGATTACAGGTGCCTGCCATGACACCTGGCTAATTTTTGTATTTTTAGTAGAGACAGGGTTTCACCATGTTTTTCAGGCTGGTCTCGAACTCCTGACCTTAGGTGATCCACCTACCTTGGCCTCACAAAGTGCTGGGATTACAGGCGTGAGCCACCAAGCCTGGCCTTCTTCTTATTTTTAATATAAAGCCAGATTTGTTGAGTTATAATTTACATAGAACAAAATTCACTTGTTAGTAGACAATTGTATGAGTTGTGACATAAAACTATCTCAGCATATAACTCATATGCTGAGTTATGTGGTAAGTATGTGTTTAAATGTATAGGAAATTGCCAAATTGTTGTCTCAGGTGGTTGTACCATTTTATTTATTTTATTTTATTTTATTTTATTTTATTTTATTATTTTATTTTATTTTATTTTATTTTATTTTATTTTATTTTATTTTATTATTTTATTTTATTTTATTTTATTTTATTTATTTTATTTATTTTTGAGACAGAGTCTCGCTCTATTGCCCAGGCTGGAGTGCAGTGGCACGATCTCGGCTCACTGCAACCTCCACCTCGTGGGTTCAAGTGATTCTCCTGCCTCAGCCTCCCAAGTAGCTAGGATTACAGGCGTGCACCACCACACCCAGCTAATTTTTGTATTTTTAGTAGAGATGGGGTTTCACCATGGAGGCCAGGCTGGTCTCAAGTTCCTGACCTCAGGTGATCTGCCTGCCTCAGCCTCCCAAAGTGTTGGGATTACAGGCGTAAGCCACTGCGCCTGGCCTGGCAGTACCATTTTAAATTTTCACCACTAATCTATGAACATTCCAGTTGTTCCTCATTCTTGTCAACACTTGGTATTTTCAGATTTTTATTTTTTAATTTTAGCCATTCTAATAGGTATGGATTTAATTTCCATTTTTCTAATAGCCATGATGCTGAGCATCTTTTTGTGTGCTTGCCATTTGTGTATCTCCTTTGGTGAAGTGTCTTTTCAAACACTTTCCCTATTTTTATTGGGCTGTTGTGTTACTGAGTTTTCAGAGATGTATGTGTATTCTGGATTTAGGTCCTTTATCAGATACGTGTTTTGCAAATGTTTTGTCCTCATCTAGTGGCTTGTCTTTTCATTGTGACTGTCTTTTGAAGAGCAGATTTTTAAAATTTTGGTGTGGCTAATAAATTATTTAGTTGTATGGATTATGCTTTTGGTTTTGTGTCTAGGAAATTGTTACCTAATTCAAGGTCACAAAGATTTTTCTCCTGTTTTCTTCCAGAAGTTTTAAAATTTGGGGTTTTACATTTAGGTATGTTATTAATTTTTGTATAATTTTTGTATGTTAGGCAAGGTATAGATTGAAGTTCTTTGTTTTTGCATATGGATGTTCAATTTTTCCAGCACCATTTGTTGTAAAGGTTATTCTTTCTTGATTGAATTGAATGTATACCTTTGTTGAGAGTTCACAAAGCTGTGGTCTGTTTTTGGATCCTCTAATTTTATTTCACTTATCTCTTTGTCTGTCGCTCTGTCACTTGACCAGTACCACACTCTTTATGGCCATAAATGTTGAAATCTAGTACTGCAATTCCCCAACATTTCTCTTTCTCTAAATTGTTTTGTCTGGTCTAGTTCCTTTGTTTTTCCAAATAAATTTGAGAATTACTTGTTGATTTCTGCTAAAATTTCAACTTGGATTTTGGTTGGCATTGCATTGATTATATAGATGAATTTGAGGAGATTTGACATTTTAACAATATTGAGTCTTCTAGTCCATAAATATGGCATATTCTCTCCATCTATATGTCTGTGGATCCTTATATCTGTGTTTTGTTGTTTTCAGCATAGAAATCTTGCACATAGTTTCATGAGATTTATACTTAAGTGTTTCATGTTTTGGTGCTATTATATAATATATGGTAATTTTTAAAAAACATTAGATTTTTAATTTTTTGTTATAAGTATGTGGATACAATTGACCTTTGTATGTTGAATTTGTATTCTGTGACTTTGCTAAACTCAATTAGTTCTAATAACTTTTTTTCTAGTTTCTTTGGGATTTTCTGTATAGACAATCATATCATCTGCAAATAGAGACAGTTTCATTTCTGCCTTTCTAATCAATAAACCTTTTATTTCTTTTTCTTGCCTTACTGCACAGGCTAGGATCTCTAGTATGATTTTGAATAGGGGTGATAGGATATTCTTGCCTTGTACGTCATCTTAGGAAAGAAGCATTCAGTCTTCTATCATTAAGTATGATGTTAGCTGTGTGTTTTTTGTAGATGCCCCTAATCTGGTTCAGGATGTTCCTTTTTATTCCTGTTTTGTTGAGGGTTTATTATTATTATTACTGTTATGAACAGATGTTGAATTTTGTCAAAAGGCTTTTCTGCATTTATTGAAGAGATAATTTTTTTTTTCTTCTTTAGTCTGTTGTTACGGTAGGTGATGTTGACTGATTTGCAAATAATGAGCCAGCCTTCCATTCCTAGAATAAGTGTCTATTGGCTGTGAAGTATTATCCTTTTTATATATTGCTGAATGCAATTTGCTATTTTTTTGTTTAGGATTTTCGTGTCTTTGTTTATGAGGGATATTGGTCTGTTCTTTTATTTTAACATCTTTATCTAGTTTTGGTGTCAGTGTAATTCTGGCCTCATAAAAAAAAGTTGACTTATTTCCTCCTTTTCTGTTTTCTGGAAGACTTGTTTAAAATTTCTATTATTTCTGTTCTAATTTTTTGATAGAATTTGACAATGAAGCTCTCTGAAATGTTATACATTGCATGACTGTTTACCTTTAAATAATAATCCGCTGCTTCAGGTATAGTGTAAGTACCTTAAAACAGTGTTTTCCCATCTATTGATCATATTTATTTCAGATTCTTTTTCTGAAATTCCTGTATTATTATTCCAGGTTATCTGTGTGTCTGCTTCTGTTGATTGTCACTTGACAATGAGCCTTTTGTTTCCTTTGCCTTCTTTTGTTTGTTTGTTTGTTTGTTTGTTTGTTTGTTTTTGAGACAGAGTCTCACTTTGTTGCCCAGGCTGGAGTGCAGTGGCGCAATCTCAGCTCACTGCAACCTCTGCTTCCTGGGTTCAAGGGATTCTCCTGCCTCAGCCTCCTGAGTACCTGGGATTACAGGCGTGCGCCACCACACCCAGCTAATTGTTATATTTTTAGTAGAGATGGGGTTTCACTATGTTGGCCAGGCTGTTCTCAAACTCCTGACCTCGTGATCCGCCCGCCTTGGCCTCCCAAAGTGCTGGGATTACAGGTGTGAGCCACTGCGCCTGGCCTCCATTGCCTCTTCATTGTAATTTTTGATTTCAGTGTTGGACATTGTGTGGAGGGCAGTAGGCAAGGTCAAAAAACTTTTTCTGTAATGGGCCAAATAAATATTTTGAGTTTTGAGAGCCACGTGTAGTCCCTGTTGCATGTTATTCTTCTGGTTTTTACTTTTAAAAAATTACCCTTAAAAAATGTAAAACCTGGCAGGCTGCAATGGTTCATGCCTCTAATTCTGGCCCTTTGGGAGACTGAGGTGGAAGGATTGCTTGAGCCCAGGGGTTTGATACCAGCCTGGGCAGTGTGGTGAGACACCGTCTCTACAAAAAAATGTGAAAAATTAACTGGGCGTGGCCACATGTTCTGTGGTCCCTCTTTCTTGGGAGGCCGAGGTGGGAGGATGGCTTGAGCCCAGGAGATTGAGACTGCAGTGAGCCATGATTGTACCAGAGTACTCCAGCCTGGGAGACAGAGCAAGACCCTGTCTCCAAAAGGAGGAGGAGGAGGGGGGGGGGAGGAGGAGGTGGTGGAGGAGGAGAGGAGGGGGGGGGAGGAGGAGGAGGAGGAGGAGGAAAGAAGAAGAAGAAGAAGAAAAAAAAAGTAAAACCATTCTTAGCTTGCAGGCTGTACAGAAACGGGTCATGGGCTACCTTTGGCCTCTGGGCCATGCGTACCCTCTCTGTAGAGGGGAATGAGGTGGGTAGATAGTGTTATATTCAGGAATGGCCACTCCTCTTTTTCCGCTGGGTTTTCATTGTTGGGGAGTTAAGGTGGGTCTGGGTTTTGTTGTTGTGTATGTACCTTCCATCCCACTGGCTTCAAATTCCTCTAACCTTTCCTTGAGCTTAGGATGAGGGCTGAGTTGCCAAAGCGTCTTCACCCATGGCTTTTGGCCTTGCCTCTGTGTCTGCCTTAGCTGCCCCTTATCTTTGGCAGGTCTCTACTAGAGAAAGTTCCCCTCCCTTCCCCCAAAGTAGGAGGACTCTAACAGGCTGGCTTAAGATGGCTCCTGGACCCTCCCTGAGGGCTAGAGCAGATTGCCTTTTATCTTCCCTGGCCACAGCAGTCTTCTGATTCTGTAGGTGAGAAGCTTCTTGTTAGGGCTTAGTGCTGTGGCAGCTCCCACTGAGAGACTGTTCAGTCTGCTCTTTCAGTCTACATCTTAAAAGGTTTTTTTTTAATTTTTTTATTTGTTAAGTAAATGTGCTAAGAAAGAGGTGCTGATTTTGAGCCTGGTTCCAGTTGCAGTACCCAGTCAAGGAGTGAATTTACGGCATCGTAAAGGCTGCCAGTAGAGAGGAATGGTAAGGAAAGTTGGCTCCACTCTGGTGATGGATTGAAGCTTCCAGTGGGTTTGTCTAGCTATTTTTTAGTGGTTGCTACAATGTATGCAAGGCTACCAGATTCTATAAGTCCTGGGGCCATTCCCATGGAAAATAAACAACGTGAATTTTATATACCCAGTGACATTGTGTAAACTCAGTGGCCCTGATAAGTGCTGTATCTGTATGTGGTCCCTGAGGGATTTGCTGCAATTGGAGTGAAAAAGAAGTAATACTTTTTAAAACAATCTTATAAGTGGACAGAATGCTACTGTCGACAAAGAGTCAAACTCTGCAAAATATTTGAAGAGATTTGTTCTGAGCCAAATATGAGTGAGGTCCTGAGAACATGTGCCCAAGGTAGTTGGGTGCGGCTTGGCTTTATACATTTTAGAGAGGTGTGAGACATCAATCAAAAACATTTAAGAAATACATTGGTTTGGTCCAGAAAAGTGGGACAAAGCTGGGGGGCGTGGGGCTTCCAGGCTATAGGTGAATTTAAACATTTTCTGATTGATAAAGACCTGGGATTGATAGAAAGGGAATGTTCAGGTTAAGGTAAAGATTGTGGACATCCAAGTTCTTTTGAAGTCTTATGGTGGCTGCCTTAGAGACAATAGATGACAGATGTTTCCTATTCAGATCTTAGTTAATCTCTTTAGGATTAGGAGGGTCTCGAAGAAAAAGATCTAGCTATGTTAGTAGAGATTCTTTACAAATGCAGATTTTCCCCCACAAAGAACAGCTTTGCAGGGCCATTTCAAAATATGGCAAAGAAACATATTTTGGGGTAAAGTATTTTTATTTTCTTTCTTGTCTCATAATGTTATGCCAGAGTCAGGTTGGAAAGTCATGATATATAGGGTTAAATAAAACCCATCTGATGAGAATTTGTGATTTGTAGGACATGACTCCCCAGACCCCTTAGATAGGAATTTGGGCAAGATAAAAAAAATCAGAGTTTAGTCCTCACTAGCAAACAGAGAAAGCCCTCATCTTTCTAGTTTAACACTTTAAAATTGTATGACTGTAATATTTGAAGATGATGGTTATTAGACTATTGAGTTTTTTGATGCTGCTTTTATGAGCTAAGCTTTTATATCAAGCAGTGACTGTGTTTCTGGGTTATCCTGTAGTTTTCTAAACTGTCAAACGTGTTATTCAGAAAGGCCAGGAACCCCTTGAGGGGTAGATTGCAGTAGAACATTTTATTCTAGGCCAGGCGCGGTGGCTCACGCCTGTAATCCCAGCACTTTGGGAGGCCAAGGTGGGTGGATCACTTGAGGTTAGGAGTTCGAGACCAACCTGACCAATATGATGAAACTCCATCTCTACTAAAAATACAAAAAATTAGCGAGGCATGGTGGCACACACCTGTTATCTCAGTTACTTGGGAAACTCCTGCCTCAGTTACAGAGGAAAGCTGAGGCAGGAGAGTCTCTTGAGCCTGGGAGGCGGAGGTTGCAGTGAGCAGAGATCATGCCACCGCACTCCAGCCTGGGTGACAGAGCGAGACTCTGTCTCAAAAAAATAAAACAAAAAGAAAAAAGAAAATTTTATTCTAACCAGAAGCATTACCTCTTTTCCCTAGATCCAGATGCAGAGGTGTGCCTTCATGTACTGAGGCTTGTCCAGTCTGTGGTTCTGGAACCTGAAGTCTTCTCCAAGTCGGCCTCTGAGTTCCGGAGCTCCCTGCCCCTGCAACGCATCCTGGCAATGTCCAAGAGCCGCAACCCCCGCCTGCAAACCGCAGCCCAGGAGCTCCTGGAAGATCTCCGCACTCTGGAGCATAATGTGTAGGTGTGCTCGGCCACCAGGGTTTTGGTGAAAATGCCGGTGTCCCTTCTCCCCAGATCCCTCATTTGATACTCCAAAACCATCACCATGTACCATGTGTTAGAGTTGGCAAAATGTGATTGACTAGAGATGGACATGAATTGATATGTATCCCACATAACTTTGTCTTGGAAGTGAGAGTGCTTGTAGGTGGTTGGTTAAGCTTGCCAAAGGAGAGGCCATGAAAGAACCTGTCCTTCTGGAAAAGTGGTCCATGTCTGTGCTGGCTGGAAGAGGGCTTGCTTAGGGCAGCTTCTTGCTGCTCAGCAGACCATGACCTGTAGGTTCACCTATAAAACAGGGAAATTGAATAACCATCTACCCCATTAGTCAGCATTTTCTTGAGATACATTTCTTTGAAAAGCAATTCATTCTCTCTCTAGTAATTGTAATTAATCCCCCCAAAATGCAAGTTTACTTTTATAACCTTTTGGTGAACCTGCTATTTCGGATGACATTGGGCATTTTAGTTCTATATTTTTTGTGCCTCTTTTATTTTTGAATAAAGAAAATCAGAAGAGTTGTATTACGACCCTTGCTGTCTAAAATCTAAACTTGATATTAGGAAGTTAGATTTCTGCATATTACCATGCTACTCTTGGTTGGTGGAAAAAAAACTCTTCCTTAAACTGTTCTGGGCCCTTTGGCTATAAACTTAGAAGTCCTATTTTTCTTATAACAAATGCTGTAAAAACAACTTGTATAATAGATTAGAACACATGCAGTTAGTTGAGATTCCATAAATGAAATGATAGTTCCAGCTCCCTTTTTGTGCATGGGTGTGCCTGTATGCCAGGGCCCTGCCATGTCTGTGTTATCTACCTACTGGTTGCCATCCAGCTTGTTTTCTAGGCCACTGGCAGAGAGCAAGGGAGAATACACTTCATTTCTCATGGACACCATGATTGGTGAGAGTTGCCTTTTGTATTAGTCTGCTTTCACACTGCTGTAAAGAAATGCCTGGGACTTGGTAATTTATAGAGGAAAGAGGTTTAATTGACTCACAGTTCACTGTGGCTGGGGAGGTCTCAGGAAACTTACAATCATGGTTGAAGGGGAAGCAAGGCACCTTCTTCTCAAGGTGGCAGGAAGGAGAATGAATGCAGGAGAACCTACCAAATATTTATAAAACCATCAGCTCTCTTGAGAACTCACTATCACGAGAACAGCATGGGGGAAACCGCCCCCATAATCCAGTCACCTCCACCTGGTCTCTCCCTTGACACATGGGAATTATGGGGATTATAATTCAGGATGCGATATGGGTGGGGACGCAAAGCGTAACCATGTCACCATTTAAATCAATCCTTAAAGTCACGTCACGTGAACACATTCCCTTCTTTTCCTGGGCTGCTTCCTTCGGTGTGATGCTGGAGGGCTGCTGGGCTCTGGGCATGCTGTAAGAGCAAAACAAATGCAGGTGCACCCCACCAGTGGCAGCCCCATCTACAAGAATAAGCTGTTTTGTTGCATATGGCATTTTAGAGTAACTTCATTTTTCTTTTAAGTACATTTTTATAGGCAGTGTGCAATTTAAGGCTGAGGCTGAGTGAAGAAGTGTAGAGGAAGGCACAGTTGCTTGGATTTCACGAGCCAGCATATTGTGGAACACTAGCTCATCTGAGCCAGAGGAATGTTGCAAAAGGCAATTTAAAATTCATGGAGGCAGAAATCGATCCATCTGTGCTGTGTGGTTCTGTAGGTCCTGATTATTGGTGAATAAAATTAAGAATGTTGTGTTTCTATACTTAATAGCATGGTGCTATCTTCTTTTTGATTGCTATTTATTTAATAAGGTAATGGGGAATGCTGCCTCTAGAACTACAGGACCTCTTTCTGCCAGAGATGGGGTCAACAGTGTATAGAGAGGAGTGAGCGTTGGCCAGACTCTTGGATGTTGTGTAGTTTAGCTAATTAGTGGATGGATGTGTTTAAGAAGGATCATTTCTTTTCTCCTGATTTTGAGGTGCTAAGAATAGCAAGAGTTCTTACGAAAACTCTTTTAGGAAGAAACATGTGACAACTCCATATTTTGAATGTATATCCTAGGAAAAGTACATAAGGCCAGTTTTAAGGAGTGATCTGCCTCCTGCTCTTCATATGAAGGTCAACAGGAAAACACAGGTTCTTTAATTTTTCTACAACTAGTTATCTAAAGAAAACCTACTCAGTTTTTTAAAAGGTATTCATAAAAAGCATGTACTTTGCAGATCTCGTGAATTTTAAAATCAGACAAAGTAAAATAGTGCATATATTTTGAAATGTTTGTTTGTTTGTTTGTTTAAATGGAGTTTCGCTTTTGTTGCCCAGGCTGGAAGCGCAGTGGTGCGATCTTGGCTCACTGCAACCTCCGCCTCCTGGGTTCAAGCAATTCTCCTGCCTTAGCCTCCTGAGTCACTGGAATTACAGGCACCCGCCACCAGGCCTAGTTAATTTTTGTTACTTTTAGTAGAGATGGGGTTTGGCCATGTTGGCCAAGCCGGTGTTGAACTCCTGATCTCAGGTGTTCCACCCGCCTCGGCCTCCCAAAGTGCTGGGATTACAGGCATGAGCCATGGCACCCGGCCTATATTTTTATTTTTTGACACAAGAGTCTTGCTTTGTCGCCCAGGCTGGAGTGCAGTGGCTCCATCTCGGCTCACTGCAGCCTCCGCCTCCTGGGTTCAAGCGATTCTCCTGCCTCAGCCTCCTGAGTAGCTGGGATTACAGGCGTACACCACCATGCCTGGCTAATTTTTGTACTTTCAGTAGAGACATGTTTTCACCATGTTGTCCAGGCTGGTCTAAATTCCAGATCTCAAGTGATCCGCTCACCTCGGTCTCCCAAAGTGCTGGGATTACAGGCGTGAGCCACCATGCCCAGCGTTGAAATGTAATTTTAACAGAATTCCTCTTACATTTATTAAGTTAAGGAACTATTTTTCTCCTTGGTACCATCAGTTTGTATGTAAAGGTGTGAAACCTGGCAGGCCCGACGTCAGACTTGACTCCCTCCTTCCTCACCCCTTCCCCCACATGGCTCCGAGCATTCCTCTTGCTGTCTGGCAGCTCATTAACCATCAGAGCTGCTTTCTCTTCAGTCCGAAAAGAGCAAATCCTTGTTCTGACGGAGAGCAATATGGAGACTTCGTGGGGGGCTTTGGAGACCCATGCCTCCTCGTGGCATAGCTTGGGATAAGCCTCATGCCACAGAGTTCTTCTAGTTCCCTACAGTTATATCGCCTGTGCCATTCACTCATTCCAGAGGATTTTAAAGTTAATTAAAGTACCAAGCATAGGATCACAGGTCTGGAGCCTGAAGAAAATTAGACCAAGGCTGGAAGTCAGGCCGGGGTCAAGGAAGTGTTGATGAAAAGAGTCAAACTCTGTAAAATATTTGAAGAGACTTATTCTGAGCCAAATGTGAGTGACCAATGGCCTGTGACACAGCCCCAGGAAGTTCTGGGAACATGTGCCCAAGGTGGATGGGCCACAGTTCGGTTTTATGCATTGTAGGGAGACATAAGACATCAATCAATAGATGTAGGATGTAAGATACATTCGTTTTGTCTGGAAAGGCGGGACAATTGGAGGGGGCGGGGGGCGTGTTCCAGGTCATAGGCAGATTCAAAGATTTTCTAATCGGCAATTGGTTAAAAGAGTTAAGTTATTATCAGAAGACCTGGAATCCCTAGGAGGGAGCATCTGTTGTGGAGACCAAGGTTTTTATTATGCAGATGAAGCCTTCAGGTAGCAGGCTTCAGAGAGAATAGATTGGAAATGTTTCTTACCAGACTTAAGGTACCAGACTCTTAGTTAATTCTCTCCTGGATCAGAGAAGAGGAAAAGGATTCTCTACAGAATGTAGATTTTTCCCCACAAGAGACAGCTTTGCAGGGCCCTTTCAAAATATGTCAAAGAAATGTATTTTTGGGTAAAATATTTTGATTTCTTTCATGGCCTGGTGTCTGTCATGTGATGCTATACTAGAGTCAAGCTAGAATTTGGTGTCTGATTGCAACAAAAAGTCTCAAGATCTCTGTTTTAATGTTTATACCAGTCAGTTGTACCTGAATTCCAAAGGGAGGAGGGCATAATGAGGCATGTCTGACCTCCACGTCCCATCATGACATAATGAGGCATGTCTGACCTTCACTTCCCATCACGGCCTGAACTAGTTTTTCAGGCCAACTTTGGAAGGCCCTTGGCTGAGAGGAGGGGTCCATTCAGATGGTTGAGGGGCTTAGAATTTTATTTTTGGTTTACAGAGGTTTTGAATAAAGCTTGTAAATGTGCCTGCCCATTCCATTGATTCGGCTGGACCTGCCATTAGCTATTTTGCCACACGTTAATATAAATGGAAAAGGTTGATAAAAACTTTTGCAGACTTACTAATTTCTGAGAAGTCCTGAAGTTTGTTCTGTTTTCTTCCATGGCATAGATGCTGAGAATGCCTCAGAACTTCTCCAACCAGTGTAGGATCCTGAGTATAGACCCTGATGTAGTGTAGGATGTGGCATCCTATAGGGCATTGAAAGGTCTTTGGATGCTTTTTGAGTCCAGGCTCAGGTAAGAAGGGCAAGAGATAACTGGTACACCTCTGTCTTCACAAACTCTCATCTTTAAGAGCCATGGCTGCCTCTCTGCTCTGAGAATGCACACATTTAAATTTATCTCCAGATGTAGACTAAGAAATCGGAGTCTTTGTGCTAATTAGTGCATGCTATGAGATGAAAAGTGTTGTTACTGTCCTTTTTAATTTGTAATTTTAAAAGTTTTAAAAATTGTTAAATATACCTAATATAAAATTTATGTTTTAACCATTTTAAAGTGAAGACTCAGTGGCATTAAGTATGTCATAGTGTTTTATAATCATTACCATTATCTATTTCTGAAACTTTTCTTCATTCCAAACAGAAACTCTGTACCCGTTATATAACAACACATTCCCTAAACCTTTCTCCCCTGGCCCCTAATATCTGCTCTTCTTTGTCTCCATGCATTTGACTACTCCACGCATCTCATAGAAGTACAGTCATATGATCTTTGTTCTTTTGGGTCTGGCGTATTTCACTTAGCATCGTGACCTCAAGGTTCATCCGTGTTGTAGCGTGTGTCAGAACTCGTTCCCTCTTCTGGCTGTATCATCCCATGTGTGGACACAGCACATTTCGTTCATTCATCCATCTGTTGAGGGACACTTGGCTTGTTTTCACCTTTTGGCTGTTGTTAATAGTATTGCTGTGAACATTGGGGTACAGGTATCTGTTTGAATTTCTGCTTTCAATTTTTTGGGGTGTGTACTTAGGAGTGAAATTGCTGAATCACATGGTAATTCTGTGTGTAGCTCTCTGAGGAACTGCCAACCGCTTTCCACAGCAGCCGCACCACTTTACATCCCCACCGGCAGCAGTGCCCAAGGGCTCCAGTTTCTCCACGTGTTCATCAACATTTGTTATTTTCTGTTTTATTGATAATAGCCATTGATAATGGGTGTGAAATGCATCTTATTGAGGTTTTCATTTGCATTTCCCTAATGACGAATAATGTTGAGCATCTTTCCTTGTGCTTATTGGCCGTTTGTATCTCTTCTTTGGAGAAAAGTCTATTCAGGGCCTTTGCCCATTTTTGAGTTGGGTTGTTTGCTTTCTGTTGTTGAGTTACAGGAGCGAACGCCTTATCAGATGTGGGATTTGCGGGTATTAACTCCTATTCTCTGGGCTTCTGCACTCTATTAATAGTGTCCTTTGATGTGCAAGAGTTCATTTTGGTTAAATCTAGTTTATTGATTTTTTTCTTTTATTGCCTGTGCTTTTGGTGTCATATCCAAGAAATCATTGTCAAATGTTTGGTCACAAGGATTTTCTCCTGTGTTTTCTTCTTCGTTTTATAGTTTTATCTCTTCAGTTTAGATCTTTGATCCATTTTGAGTCAATTTTTTTCATATCGTTCAGCTAAGGGTCCGGCATCATTCTTTTACATGTGGATATTTCAGTTTTCCCACCACTACTTGCTGAATTTTATAATTATTATTTGAAAATGGTATTACAAATGTGATTTTCAAAACTGAAACACTTATGAATACTATGCTCATATGCTCACCATATGTTTAAATTATTTGGTTTCATGAATAGCCTTTTTTTTTTTTTTTTTTTTTTTTTTTTTTGAGATAGGATCTCATTCTGTCACCAAGGCTGGAGTGTGATCTCGGCTCAATGCAGCCTCTGCCTCCTGGGCTCAAGTGATCTCCTGCCTCAGCCTCCAGAGCAGCTGGGACTCTAGGTGTGTGCCACAATACCTGGCTAATTTTCTGTATTTTTTGGGGGAGATGGAGTTTCACCATGTTGTCCAGGCTGGTCTCTAACTCCTGGACTCAAGTGATCCACCTGCCTCAGTTCCCCAAAGTGCTGGGATTACGGGCATGAGCTACTGCACCTGGCCATGAATAGCCTTTATTATAGGATTTTATATTGTTCCAGTGGAGCTCCCTAAGTTGCTGCTTTTCCCGCCATAAATGTACATTTAATGCTCTTAGATCATACTCAGCACAAAATGACTGTTAGCTGGAAAAATGACTCCCACTCACATAGTCTATTATATTTTTTAATTGAAGTCATACTTGCAGCCCAACTTTTCAGGTTAAATGGTGTTATGCAAAATATTACTGTTTCGATGTCTGAGAGCAGTGCAGGCTTTGGGAAGAAGTGCAAAGGCCCTGTAAGTGTGGGCTTGGTGTATGTTTGAAGGGCAGCAGAGAGTGCTCAGGTGCTGGCTGGGAGACCTCTCGCCTTGCTCTGTGCGATGACTGTGGGGCCTGGGGCAGGAGCAGCCTCTGATTCACACTTAAAAATGTAAAAAAAAAAAAAAAAAAAAGTGGAACCTGCTCTTAAGATTGTCAGATGACCACACTGTCAGCCTCTAGTCATCGCTGCCCTCCCCACCCCCAGCACCTCAAATGGCAAAAGTCCTCGAGACTGCTGAAGTGAGTTTCTTTCCAAACATGCCTCCCCAAGGTGAAGCTTTCACTCTCCCCACAGACTCCAGCCACACCCAGATCTGAGGCCCAAGTGTGCATGTTCTCACTGGATACTTTGCCCAGCTGCCATACACACACTTGGTCCTGCATAGCATGGGCTGACGTGAAGGTGATAGGTCCCTGCTGGAGTGGGGCCTGCCACCTGCCCACCGGGGAGGAAAGCATCTCCTCTGCCATCCTGTGCCTTCATGCTCAGTCGCTGGCACCAGCAGCCTTTCCTTTGGCCATGGCTCATACCTACTCTCTTTTTGGATCATAAGCCCTAGAACTGTGGTTCTTAGCTGTTACAGGGTCATGGGCCACTCTGAGAATCTGAGAAACCTTCTGTATACAAAAGTGTATGGACATGCTTATCTGATGTTTCATCTGCAGTTTCTGGGAGTTTGTAGGATTCCCCCCAGGATCATTTACTTTTTGGTAAGGAGCCGTTTGCCCTGGGCTTGTGGAATTTGTGTGGCCTAGTGTAGTACCAGGCACATAACCAGGCACTTGAGCATTGAAAGCATTTAATGATGTCTATGACACTGTAAGGCGTCCCACATTAACGGTAGTCCCATAGCTGAAAACAAAGCATTGGCTTCCTGGTGGCAGTTCAGAACCTCTGCCTGATTTCCTTCAGCTCAGTCAGTCCTCACGGCCACCCCGTGAGGTCGGCATCACCAGCCACACTCTGCAGGTGAGGATACTGGACTCTAGTGACAGAGTTGCGGTTACAGTCTGTGCCTCTTGGTGTCACCTCCCTTTCCCTGGGCCCGTAACCTCATCTAGGGTCCTTTGCCTTCAGGCCAGTGTCTGTCCTGCGCCTGGGCATTTGCAGTTCTGGCGATGAGCTGCTTCACCCCCTGGCAGAGGGTCTGCAGCCTCTCTGGCCAATGTGCCACTCTGCTGCCACCAGCAGGCCCATGGGGTCAAGAGGGTGGGAAGAGAATGGGAAGTAGTTGGTGTGGTGGGGGGCAGTAACCCCTGCTCCCCACCAGGCTGGTATTGAGACAAGATGTGCTGATAAGTGACAGGCTCCTGTGGCTGCCTGATCACACAATAACATTGAGAAAGAAGAGGGAGAGTTGGCCGGGTGTGGTGGCTCACCCCTGTCATCCCAGCACTTTGGGAAGCTGATGCGGGTGGATCATTTGAGGCCAGGAGTCCAAGACCAGCCTGGCCAACAACAGGAAACCCTGTCTCTACTAAAAATACAAAAATTAGGTGGGCATGGTGGCACATGCCTGTTGTCCCAGCTACTCAGGAGGCAGAGGCAGGAGAATCGCTTGCACTGTGGAGGCAGAGGTTGTAGTATGCCGAGATCACACCACTGAACTTCAGCCTGGGCAACAGAGCAAGACTTCGTCTCAAAAAAAAAAAAAAAAAAAGAAAAGAAAAGAATAGGGAGAGACAGAGATTAATTATCAATATCAAAAGCCTTGATTTTTAAAAGGTTCTGTTCAGTATCTGCAGCAGTTTATAAAATTATCATTCCTGTCTCCATGAGCTGCATGCTCAGGTATCACTACAACCTATCTTACCTTGCTTAGAATCATTGAGTAGTCCTCTCTTTCAGTCTTTTATTTTAGATTCCACAGAGCTGAGACAAACCAGGGCAGGAGCAGGACAAATTCTCCCTGCTCTAGGCCAGAAAGCCAGCACAGGACATTGCTAGGCTTAGAGTTAACAGGACCTCTCCCTTGGAGATGTCCCCTGCTCTGGGCAGGCAGGTGGTCACAGCCCAGGGCTGACATGACCAAGCCAGAATGGGCAGGGAGAGGGGCAGGTAAGAGCATACCTTGCAATAGCGGGTGCTTCTGCTTTGTTCTTTTCTTTTTGTTTTTTTTAGTCCAAATACTGATAGAAGAGAAATAAAGGGGCATCTGAAACTTAGACGAGGTTAAGATTACTTAAGGACAGAGTGGAGTGAGCCTACAATTCACAAAGTGTGTATTTTTGCTGGGAGCTGAAGCTCACCCGTTAGGCATCAGAGCTTTTTTTTGAAAGAACCATTTTAATGGAAATTCTTAAAAAATATATCGCATGCCTGCTCCTTTATACATTGTACTTGGAATATTTTCCTCTTCTTGATGAATCAGTGTCCTTCCCTCCACCACCCTCAGCCAGGGAAGTAAGTTTTCCAGAAACTTAGTACTACACTTTGGCATTTGAGCACACTTCCTTCAATTATGAGAGTAGAAGGCTGTTTTCTTACATTTGGATGAAATTTCTCACCTCTCTGTACCTAAGGTTCTGTGAAACTTGTTGTAAAGGGGCTGGGGGTGCATGTGTTGGCTTAGATACCTGTTCCTTAGAGGTAGTTTAGGTTTGGCCCTGAGCCCAGGGAAGGGGAGGCAGCACCTGAATGTCCCATGAGCTGTTGTGCTGCTTGGAGCAGCAGCCTCTGTGTGTGCCGTGTTGGGGTGTGTGTGCTGTATTTGGGGGTATGTGGGTGTGCTATGTTGAGGGTGGCAATCAGCAGACTGGGGCCTTTCTGTTCTCTCATCAGGTTGTGAACCCAAAAGTATCTGAGACTTGCCTCAATCAATTTAGAAGGTTAATTTTGCCAAGGTTAAGGATGAACCCGTGACACAGCCTCGGGAGGTCCTGACGACATGTGTCCAAGGTGGTCGGGCCACAGCTTGCTTTTGTACATTTTAGAGAGACATGAGTCATCAGTCAATATGTGTAAGAAGTACATTGGTTCAGTGCAGAAAGATGGCACGACTGGAAGCTGGGAGGAGTGGGAGGGCATTCCAGGTCATAGGTAAACAAGAGACAAAAGGTTGCATTCTTTTGGGTCTTTGATAAGCCTTTCACTGAATATACAATTTACATGTGAGAGGCAGGTAGAGAGGAATAGTCACTTATGCCTAAGCCTGGCTCAGTGAATCTGCACTTTTTTTTTTTTCGAGATGGAGTTTCACACTCTTGTCGCCCAGGCTGGAGTGCAGTGGCGCAATCTTGGCTCACTGCAACTTCTGCCTCCTGGGTTCAAGTGATTCTCCTGCCTCAGCCTCCCGAGTAGCTGGGATTACAGGCACGTGCCACCACGCCTGTCTAATTTTTAAAATATTTTTAGTAGACACAGGGTTTCACCATGTTAGCCAAGCTGGTCTCGAACTCCTGACCTCAGGTGATCCACCCGCCTCAGCCTCCCAAAGTGCCGGGATTATAGGCGTGAACCACTGTGCCCGGCCAAATCTTCATTTTTATACATAAACAATAGGGCAGAGGAAGCCATCAGATATGCATTTGTCTCAGGTGACCAGAGGGATGACTTTGAGTTCTGTCCTTTGTCCCATACCTGTGAAGATAACTTACCAATTTACATTGCCAGGGTGAAAATCAACAGAACTGTTTTAGGGTATAGATCTTGAGGCAAATTGTGAAGGAGGTATGTAGCTTTTTTTTAATCTTTGTAGCTATCTTATTTAGGAATAAAATGGGAGGCCTGACGCAGTTCCCAGTGTCAACAAAAAGAGTCAAACTCTCTAAAATATTTGAATAGATTTATTCTGAGCCAAATATGAGTGACCAGTGGCCCATGACACAACCCCAGGAGGTTCTGAGATCATGTATCCAAGGTGGATGGAGTACAGCTTGTACATTTTAGGGAGACATGAGACATCAATCAAATGCATGTAAATGTACTTTGGTTCGGTCTGGAAAAGCGGGACAACTGGAAGGTGGGGGCTTCCAACTCATAGGTAGATTCAAAGATATTCTGATTGACAGTTGGTTGAAAGAGTTAAGTTATTGTCTAAAGACTTAGGAATGTCTGGGTTAAGATAAGGGTTTGTGGAGACCATAGGTGAAGCCTCCAGGTAGCAGGCTTCGGAGACAATAGATTGTAAATGTTTCTTATCAGACTTAAAGACCCTATTCTATCAGTAATTCCAAAAGGGAAGAGGGTATAATGAGTCATGCCTGACTTCCCTTCCCATCATGGCCTGAACTTGTTTTTCAGGTTAGCTTTGGAATGCCCTTGCTGAGAGGAAGGGTCCGTTCTTGTCGGGGGACTTAGAATTTTATTTTTGGTTTACACCAGCTTGACTTTGCCCTTTGGCTTAGTGATTTTGGGGTCCCGAGATTTATTTTCCTTTCACAAAGTCTTCCTGGTCTTCAAGAAGGTGCCTTGAGAGCCCTTCCTTGTGCCGCCTTCTCCTCGGGGACCCCTGCCCCTGTGGCTGCAGTTTACCCTGGGTGGAAAAGGCACCCATGCCCAGGCTGGCTAGAGCCTCTGCCACTCAACTGGTTGGGCCTCCGTATTCCTTGGGTGCTGCTCCCACTACCTGTCCAAGCCACCCACCAGGGCCCCAGACTCCCCTAGCACTTCTCCTGGGCTGTGTCCTTCCCTGGAGGCTGCTGAGCTGCCCTGGACTCTCCCCACAGTCACACCACGGTGGGATCCACCCATAACCCCTGCCCTGACCCACAGACACTTATTGCCTGAATCAGGTGTGGACAGAGTTCAAGTTGTTTCAGTGATGTCCCTGGCAATTCAGTGGAGATGACCACAGATCTGTGTCTGTCTCTGTGTGTGTGTGTGTGTGTGTGTGTGTGTGTGTGTGTGTCTTTGTGTGTGACTGTGCCTCTGTGTGTGCCTATCTGTATGAGTCTGCATGTATGTGTGCATGTATGTCTGTGTGACTGTGCCTGTGAGTGTTGTTTCTGTATCTTGTCTGTATGTTTTTGTGTGTCTCTGTGTGCATCTCTCTCTCTGTCTGCGTCTCTGTGTGTGGGGACTGTCATACCTTCCTTCCCATGCTAAACATACCTGTGTCTTGACTCTAGTCCGGCAAGCTTCCCTCGCTACACCTCTGCCTCAACCCTAAGGAATTTGGCTGACACGCATACTAAGGTTTTCTAAGGGGGAGTTGGCTTTTGGCTGTGTGGGCTGGAACTAGGGTTTAGGGGAATGTTTGTCTCCCATTTGCTTCTGGCTCTGCACCCCCGTGTATGAGGGGGCAGGAGGGCACTGTGACTGCACCTCTCCCATGAGCCCAGAAGATACGTTTTACCCTGTGGGCACTGAAGACAGGGCCAGGTTTCTAGGGCTCTATAATCTTTTTAACTATTTTTGGCTACAGGTCAAGTGTAGATGTGTCAGGGGTCATAGACCTCTGAATCCTGCAGGACAAACCTGAAGCTATCTGCTTCATGGAGTTAAATGTTCATCAGATTTGCATTTCTCCCTTAAAACCTTGTCACTGGAAACCTGGGTGGAAGTCTGGCCCAGTGCAGAAGCCACCAGACTCTCCTGCCAGCTCCAGAGGCTGTCTTAGGATCCAGAGCCCCTTGCTTAATCCTGTTTTCTCTGCTGTGCTGGAAGAAAGTCCCATTCCTGGGTAATTGCCAGAAGAAAGGCTCCGTCTTAAGGTTAAAGGAGCTAGAATCACAAGGGGAATCAGTAAACCCAGTTCCCAGGCCAGGGACCCAAGCTTTGGGATGAGCGATCTGGTCTTCAAGGCCAAAATGCTTGCTCACCAGCTTTCTTTCTCCTCCACACTCTGTCCAGGTTTGGGGGCACTGTCTTAGGCCCCTTTGACGTCATCAGCACAAGAGACTCAGAGCAAGGAACAAAACTGCCTGTACTCGCCAGGGCTCCTGATGCTATCGTCTCGTAGGAAACCCTGAATGAGGTCTGGGCAGGTGAAAAGCCTTCCTGTTTGTCCTCTCAATTAGTCACACTTGGTTCTGAGCCAAGCCGTCTGCTCCCATGTTAATCCCCAGCCTGGGAGGGCAGGCTGCAGCCGGCAGGGCTTGCACAACCCGCAGTCCAGGCTGCAAGGTGGCTTCTCTTCCCTGTATTTTGCAGCCCCGGCCCTTACTCAGCACACACTTTCTTGTTTCTGAGTCCTTCCAAAACATTCTGGTCTGGGCTGTACTTTGTGCTGTTTGGGAGAGGCACCCCTCACCTCAGAGGGCAGCTGGAGACCTCCTGTGTGAGGAGGGCTTGGCCTCCTTCCTGGGGTCTCTGCTGCTCAGGCAGGGGGCTCCCTCTCCCTCTCCATGTGCTTGTGGGTGGGGGCAGAGGTCCCGGCCTTGTCTCATGTAGAAGAGATGGTTCCAGGCCACATAGGCCTGAGCTGGTCTGCTGCATGGAGTGGCCTGACCACCAAGCAGAGAGCAGGAACGGCAGGGGCAGTGCTTGTGCTTCGGGGTTTTTAGGGATTTATGAATGTGCACACCAAGAACAGCAAACAAACCAAAGTTCAAGTTATTTCTCTTTCTTACAAGTCTGCATGAATATAGTCTCTTCCAGAGGAAGTTGATTAAACTCTATTGCACCAGCCTCTGAAGAATGCATAGTATGAAATAGCAGAGCATTTCTTGTGGCTCCCAGATCTGCCACCTGCAGTGGGGCCAGGCTACCCGACAGCTCCCAGGCCTCTGGGCACCATAGCTGTCTTCAGGTGCTCCAGCTCAGGACATGGCCATTCAGAGGCAAGAATCAGCAAGCTCCTTCCAGGCTGGGGCACATCCTGAAGCCCCATCAGAGCAGCCCCATACAGTGGCTTAGGGGTGTGGGCTTGTGTCCTCCTCATGGAGGAGGGGAGCACGTTTTCCCAGCAGCTCAGGTTTCCAGGGCCCCCCCACCTTCCAGGTGTGACAGTTTTTCATACTTAAAACATCACTCAACTATCAGAGTGGTATACTGGGGAGAGGCAGGGCTGTGACAGAGAGCTGAAGTGGTGTGCAACAGTCACAAACAGCTTTCACCTTTGACCTTGGAACATGTGATGTGTTTTGCCCAAGTTTTCATTTCTCCCTGATTGCATTTAGCTTGGGATCTTGTTAAAATTCGTCTGCATTTCCATAGCATACCCTGAGCACTCAAGAGGCAGGACAAGGGGTTCTAGCCAGGGACCCAGATGTTCCTGCAGACATTGCACACTGGAGGCAAGCGACGCCACCAGGGTGAGGCTGTCCTGATGCAGCATCCCCAAAGAGGCTGGGCCAGGGCAGCAGATTTTCCCTGCAACAGGGCATGGGGCTCCTCCTGTCCCCTGCCCCTTGGGCCTGGGCCTCACAGTGTGGACTTGTCTGAGGTTTACCTGGTGCTCCGTGGCGTCATGAAAGCCTGTTCCTCAGGTGTCTCTGCCATTTACCCCTCTGTCCTCTAGAGAGCACCCATTGGGTGACAGGCCGACAAGGGTCTTGCAGAATCTTTGGTCTGGCACCCTGAGAGCTTGGAGCTCTAGGGTCTTTCTCCATATGACACCAACAGGCCTGTCTCTTGCGGAGTGATGGGTCTGGGCGCCGGACACTTCTTATGCCTCCTCACAGCTTCCACACTTATCTTTGCGCCAGCCACTGTTGTATGCAGGTGTGACCAACAGCCCCTTTTGCCCTCTCCTGGGCTTTTCAGATTGGGCAGGGTGAGATACCAGGACCATACCAGGCCAGCACTCCTATAAGCAAGGCATGTGCAGACAAGCTCCATTCTCCCCAGCTCCTCAGAGGGTCACTGAAGGACAGAGCCTCAGTTGTCCATGGAGGAGACCAACTCAAGATGCAACTTTGGGGCTGACATTTCCTCCTTTCTGCTCCCTTGGCCATTCCTCTTCCTGGGGGTGGTTTCTAAAAACCACAACAGAGCTTTATGCGTAGGAAAAGCCCTGCCTTGGGCTCTGCTCCAGTGGAAGCCAGGTCCAGGAGGAAGTCCTGTGTTCCTGCCCCAGTGCAGGTCAAAGTATGTATCCCTGATCATTCATGCACTGGCTACGTAATTTACACTTATCAAGCCCAAACAACCTGAGGAATGAAATGCACAAGCCAGTAAGCACATGGGGCAGCAACCCAGCTCTCTACAGGGCAAGTCCCCCTCCCCGTCCCCTGCAGGGCTCTCCAAAATGCTGGGCACAGTGAGTGTGACAGATCAATATCAGAACTCTGTGCTCTGGCCCTGGGTCAGACCCTACAGATTCAGGGATCCACAGATCAGGGGGTTGGACTCAAACCAGTCATCAGAATACTTAGCAGATGTTTTCTAAGAGCTAGTGTGTGCAGGCACCACGTATGGCCTGTTATCTGAATGGTCTCACATGCGCCTCCCTATACACATTCAAATTCAGTTGAATACAGGTATTCAACTTAGCAACGATTATTATTCTATAGATGAGGACACAGATTTTGAGGTTAAATTCTAGAAAGAGTGGCTGGGGTTTGAATTGGGCAGTTGATGGTAGATGCTGGCCATAATGGAAAGATTTTGGGGCTTAGAGTGAAGCACTGATGCGGAGGGGACACTTTTGGTAGGAAGGGGCTCTGGCAGTCAGGGTGGTGTCTGAGCTGGACTTTGAAGGACACACACGCTCTGCCAAGGAGTCAGAGAAGGAGCTGTGGTAGGAAGAGGGGCTTCTGGGCAGAGGGATAGGATGTGCACCCGCAGGGTGTCACTTGGAGGGGAGGTTGGGGCCAGTAGGCTGGGAGGGCCAGCGTGGCCTCGTGGTTTCTGTACCTTGTGCCCCCACCAGGCTGTGTTCTTTACGTCCCCAGTGTCTGGACCAAATAAGTGCCGTGTCCAATAAATGTTGCTGAACTCAAGTGAAGGCCACTTTCCAGGAGGACAGAAAGTTCTAGAGGGAGGCTGTCCCAGAAGGAAGTTGGGGAAACAGGAGGATACCTAGCTTTGGTCTTGTTCTGTTGGGGTTGGCTTTTTCTTTTCCTTATTTTTTTGTTTTTTTCTTTTTTAGGGACAGGGTCTCACTCTGTCTTCCAGGCTGGAGTGCAGTGCCACAGTCATAGCTCACTGAAGCCTTGAACTTCTTGGCTCAAGCGATCCTCCCACCTCAGCCTCCCAAGTAGCTGGCACTACAGGTGTGTGCCATCACACCTGGATAATTTTAATATTTTTTTGTAGAGATGGGGGTCTCACTATGTTGCCTAGGCTGGTCTCAAGCTCCTAGCCAGGGCCTCCCAGAGTACTAAGATTACAGGCTGAATTTTTCTTTTCTTTCCTATCTTTTTAGAACGTCTGAGATATGTTTCACAGTGGATGGCCAGATAAATTGGTCTGTTGAGGCTTAATTGTTTGGATAATGACCAGGCCTCCATTGGTCACCCAGTGTGGATGACTCACCACCACATTGTGGAAGAAGGATTGTATGTGTTGGGGTTGTGAGCCCAGAAAAGGGAGAAGAGCAAGGCCTCCCAGTTCTCTCTCCAGAAATTCAAGGTCGTTGGACCAGCTTCTCAACCCAGCATTTCTTGTCTTGCCACCTGGGAAGCAGTGGCTGTCACACTTTGACAGGGTTAGTGCAGCAGGAATGACAGAAACAAGCCCATGGTTGCCTTCTTTCTTGGCAAAAATCACCTCAGCATAAATGCTTTTTCTCTCATTATGGCCGGGTATAAAGGGCTGAGCAACCCTGGCCCCGTGTGTGGGAGAAACTGGCTGGATGTGAAGAATGGGGAGGACAGAGAGGCCAGCTGCAAGGTCATGAGGGCTGGCAGAAGCCTGTGTGGAGGGCACTGTCTGAACTTTATACAGAGGGCGGACCTTCTCCTTGGCAACAGAATGTTCTAGCATCATACTGGAGCCTCCCACTGCCCTTGGACAGGCTGCACCTGAGCTCAGTTCCTCCTGGAGCTCAGCCATCCATTCCCAGCCCTCAAGACCAGCCATCACCAAAGGCCTGCTCTTCCTAGAAAGTTGTCACTAGAATTTTTTGGAAGGCCTAATCCTTTCTTGGGATTTGGGAGGGCTGAGTATCTCCCTAAGCATCGGCTTGACACCTGCATCTGTTTTCACGTTTAGGATGATAGGCCATTCAAGTTGGAGGCGAATGGTTACTGCAGCATTTTGGGGCACTCGTTTCTTATCCCCTTGTGTCCCAAGCCCCTCTTCTCCAGTTCACTGGTTGGGATCTGCCCTGGCCCTGAGGATCAGGAAAGGGTCTGTGAACTGGAGGAGGCTGAGGGAGGCCCCCAGAGGGGCCCTAGCCGGAGTCATGCTCTGGGCAGTCTCGAGGGCGATTTGGGATGAGCATAGCTGGGAGCTGGGGCCCTGGACAGGCTCGAGGACCTGTGCCCAGGAACCTCTGGAGTTCGAGGGTGGGTACCTGGTGCTGGGTGGGGGTGGCTGCGTTTACGTATGAGTGTATGCACGTGTGTGCACACACATAGGCTTGTGAGTGTGTGGGGGTTTGTGCATGTGTGTGCACGTGTATGAGTGTATGAATGTGTGCACGCGTGTGCGAGTTGCAACTCCACAGAGAGCTTCACAGAGCCCCTCTGTCAGGAGCCTTCTCTCCCAGTGTGCCACCATGGGGTTCTCTGAAATGGGGTTCTCTGTGCCTCTCGTGCCTTGCCTGCTCTCGGAGGAGCTGCTCCATGGCTACTCGCCTTGTGCACAGATGTGTGTCAGTCATGGTGCTTTCATCTGAGTGGGGACAGTTCAGAAAGGAAATGCCCTGGCTGCCCCTGTCGCCCCTCATCAGCTTCTCTTTGTGGCCTCAGCCACCTGGTGCTAGCTTCTGGGCAACCTGAACTAATCCTGGTGGTGGCCCTTCCAGGCCGCCCAGCCCCTTGGCCTTGCCACCCCTCTGAAAAGTCCCTTTGGGAACCCCTTGCCTGCATGTTTCTACTTTTCTTCTCACTGGTTCTAAGACCACATCCCAGCAAGCTGGCCCCACACCCGGACCTGGCACAGCTGGTCCTGCCCATTGGCACAGCAGCCCCCTGTGCCTCACCCCGGCTGGCCCCCTTCCTCCCTAGAAAACTTCCATGGCAGCACCGTGTTAGAGCCACTCTGTTAGGAACACCCTTCATGTTCTCACTGCTTGCCCACTATTGCGCTTATCTGGCAAAGCTGGCCCTGGTGTCACTCAGCTCTGCCTCTTCTGGGCTGTCCTATGCAGCTGCACCGTGGCTGGGAACAGCTGCTCCATCTCAGGAAACATTGACAGCACACATCCCCCATCAGTCCACTCCTGCCCTTCGGATACCAGCACCCCTTCTGCCACCCCCTGCCTCCCCTGACACTCGGATACACTGGGGTCAAAGTTCCCCTGCCCCCAGCACCAGTGCTTCCTCCTCCTTTCGCCTGAGCCAGCTCCCTCCCAGGTCTCCTCCAACCACGCTGGCCTCCTTTCTTGGGTATCTCACTATGGGCACTGCCCTGGGCTGGACCCATCTCCAGAGCAGCCCCCACACTCAGCTCCAGCATCAAATGCCAACAAATTCTGATCAGTGTAAATCTTTTTCTTTGGCACATTTGGATGCTAAACAGATGTTTCATGCTTAATGTGGCTGCATCATATATGGCGAGGAACTGGCTTATGCAACTGTGGGGGTGCTGGTTAGGCAAGTCTGAAATCCAGGGCAGGCGGGAGGCTGGAAACTCTCAGGCTGGAGCTGACACTGAGTCCATGGGAGGAATCTCTCCTTCCTCAGGGAAGTTTCCGTGTGGTTCTCAAGGCCTTCAGCTATTGACAGGAGGTCCACCCAGATGTTTGAGGACAAGCTCCTTTACTTGAAGTCACCCGGAGCTACCACATGCCCTCCCAGCAACTCCTAGAGTAAGAGTTTGACTGAGTAGCGGGGTTCTGTGTCCAGGCCCTGTGGACTCAGAAACAGCAGAGCCATTTGGTTTCCTCCTTCAGTTTCTGTCTCACCAGACTGTTTTTCCACCCTCAGTCATTCTCTCTCCAGTGGCTTGTTGGATCTTTTAGAAATAGAAATCAGAGCAGTCATTCCTTCCCTGGCTGAAACTTCCCAGTGCCTCCCCAAGGTACCAGGAGTCAGCTGGGCTGAGCCCGTGCTCTGGGCCACACTGTACCTGCTGACTCAGCTAGCCTGAATGGTTTGGGGTTTCCCTTCCCTGCTGCTGTCTGAGTCAGTGTCGGGAGTGAGCATGTGTCACCCACCAAGGACCCTGCCTGTTGGCTCCCTCTAGTCACACCTGTTCAGACTTGTCTGTTTTGGGGCTGTAGCAGGGAGGGGGTTGGGGCTGAGGGAGGAAGGCTCTGACCCAACGCAAGCTGCTGATGGGCCAAGCACTCAAGCTGAACAGACCTGCCTGGCTCCTCTCTGGCTGTTGGAACCTCACCAGACCTCACATCCTTTCTGCCCTTGAATTGTGAAGGTTCCCCTGGGGACCTTCTGGAAAAGTCTGTAAAGCACCCCCCTCTCCCGGATGGATAGCCCCATCCTGGGCCCCGTCCTCTCCTGTACTGATCACCTGGCTGGTATCAGTCAGTGGCTGCCTTGCAGGGAGGCTGTTAAAAGGCTCATGGGAGCCTGAAGTTTCTCTTTTGAAGCAGCTCTTCCTGCCTTCCCCCTGTGGCCTCGATTTGTTCTCTGGCTCCATGTAAGGGCACCTTCTGAGTCTCAGCAGAGCCTCAGCAAGCGGTGTTGGTGCCGTAAGGGACCCTCATCAACTGCGTCAGCCGATGTCTCCCAGCCTGTGTCTGTGAATGTTAGCTTCTTGGGATTGTGGAGTCCTAATTAGGGAAAAGGAGTCAGGCTGGCAGGACCAAGGGCAAGCAAAAAGAGAAAGCAGATAAGCTATAGAGTTGACTTTCTTCATGGTCCAGGACACGCAGGCCTCCTGCTCAGGTAACTCATGATCTTCCTGGGCCGAGCTATGGCCAGACACCTCCAAGTTAGCTCCTGGCTGCCTTGGCGTTATTAGTTCTGCACGTCGCCCTCTGCAGCCTAAGAACCACCCTATAAAATCCCCAGCAAGCCTTTGTTTCTTTGCAGTTGGCTCCTCTTCTGCTGATTCTGCCCATTGCAACCTTGGAATGCGTTTTCATACTTTCTCTCATAAATCTGCCTTTCTTTGCCTACAACTGTCTTGGTAAATTCTTTTACCCCAGTACCACCGGCCCAGATTGTTGCTGCTCACCCACCACAGGGATGTTACCTGATGTTGCAGATCAGTTGGCACCAGGGGCAGAGGAGCCTAGAAGCCCTGTTGCTCTCTCAGAGATTCACAACAGGTGCCAGTTAAAGGCTCTGAGAAATCCACAGCAGAGACACCTGCTTACTCTGCTTGGCCCAGCATTTCCCAGGCCCGTCTGACCATCGGGCCACCCTAGTCCAGCCCCTTCTAGTCTGTGGAGCATGAGTTGGGAATCACTGATCCCGACCAGACTTTCAATTTGCAGGAAATGTAAAGGAAACAGAGGTGTCAGAGGTTCAGGGACTCCCCGAGGCTTGTATAAAAGTCAAGAGTGACGTCGGCCAGGGGACAGTGTGCAGTGGCAAGGAAGGCATCCACAGGGTGTCCCAAGGAGGTCATGCCAGCTGGTGTGAGGATGCAGGGCAGATGGCAAGCTCTTGTGCCCAGGGGACAGTACAGGGCTGAAAAGGGACAGTATGATGTGCAGCTGTGGATCTAAGACTCACAGGTGAGAGGAACCTCCAGCTCACCCTGTCTGTTCTTGGAGCGTTCTCACTGTTTAAAGTTCTCCGCACGGAGTTGAAAACGCCTTTGTCTTACTCTTCCCCTGTCATCCTGGCTATGTCTTCGGGAGCTGCAGAGACGAGTTTTGGTCCCTCTCACACCTGGCAGATTCTTGAGCATCTGAAGATGGCTTTCCTCTCCCCTCCTTCTCACCAGCAGCAACGGCGCTTCACAGAAGACACTAGGGAAGACAGCCCTGGAAGAGTGACTCCTCAAGAATAATTGCCTCCTGGAGGGAGTGCTGTCCTGAGGCCCTAGCTCTGACCCACAGCAGGGTCTGGTCCATAGGAAAGAAAAGCCACCTCACCTACTTTCCCCACGTACCCCTGGGCCGGGCAGAGAGTAGAGGATCCTCGGCAGGACTTTGCATTCGCCCTGTGGATTTGCATGGGCTCTTCTCTTGTGCGTGCACATGCAGGATGTCGCCACCAGACTGTACCCACCTACCTCCAGAGGGGCCTCCTCTGGAGCACTCATTCAGAAGGATGCTCGTCGGGGGACTCTCCTGCTGGACACCTCTGTCCCTGGGGGGCCTCGCCTGCTGGACACTGGACACCGGACATCTCTGTCCCTGGGAGGCTTCTTCTACCGGACATCTCTATCCCTGGGGGTCTCACCTGCCAGACAACGCTGTTCCTCGGGGGCCTCTCCTGCTGGACACCACTGTTGTTCAGGGGACCTCACCTGCCAGACACCTTTGTTCTGGGGGCTTCACCTGCTGGGCTCTGCTGTTCCTGAGGGCCTCTCCTGCTGGGCTCTGCTGTTCATGGGAGGCCTCACCTGCTGGGCTCTGCCGTTCTTGGGGATCCTTGCCTGGGAGTTTGAGCATCTCATGAGTCTGGTTTTCATTCTGTTGAGGCCAGTGGGGTAGACAGAGGGTGGCCCCATCCAGGTGTTCCTCCCAGGGTTGGGAAAGAACAGAGAAGCCTGAGGAGGGGCCTCCCTGCCTAGCTCAGGGCCCTACCAGCCACCCACTGCTGTGCCAGGGCCAGGACATTTCCTGGGCTCAGGAAGCCGACCTGAACGCTAATGCTGTACCCTGCAGAGTGGGTCAGAGCGTTTCATCATGGAGCTTCACCACGTGTTTCTGAGACGGGCTGGAGAAAAGGAGATGAGCGTTAGGAATGGTTGCCACAGCAATAACTCAGAGTGGGATCTAAGAGAAAGGACTTCCTTCTTCCTGCATGTGCATTTGCAACTGCCTACTCCGTGGGCACAGGGGAGGCTGCTGGCCTGGGTTCCAGGTGTTCATCAGGAACAAGGGGTCACACAGGCTAGATTACACCCTGAAACCTCCCTCTGGCTCTCAGGTGTGACGCTGCATCTGCGACCAGGAACTCGGGGATGAGGGGCAGAGTGGGGGCCTCCTGATGCCCCAGGCTTCCAGCACTGAGTATGGAGTACACCTCACCCCTGGGGCTCCTGGAAGCCTTTCCCATCCTGGGCACAACCACGAATTCCTCTCTGGGTAATTCAGCAGTGAAAGGCATCTGCTCTTCATTGAAGAGCAGCTTGACTTATGCTCTTCATTGAAGGTAGCTGTGCACAGACCTCAAGCCTGAAGGGTCTAAGGTGTCTTGTGAGCACCGGCTCAGCTCACAGCAGTTGGGAGATGATCCCTCAGGCTGGGTGGGAGAGAACTCAGTGTGAAAGACACAGCCCAGAGCGGCCGCTGTCTTGTAGCGGGATTTTTTAAGGAATCAGAGAAACTGATGGGGTACAGGAGGATATTTATTATTTAGGTGCACTAGCCCAGTCGGATTAACATCCAAACGACTGAGTCCCAAACAAAGAGTTAAGTTACCTTTTAAGCATCTCATGGGGCGGGGGGAGATCTGTACAGGGGGAAGCATATTACACAAGCGAGAAACAAAGACAGTTATTTAATTAATTGAGACATGCATTATGTCATTTCTTACTTTTTAAGGAGAAACATGTTTTGCGACTTGAGTTTATCTGTGACCTTGCAGCTGCACAGCTAGGGAATCAGGGTCTCCACAATGCCTGGGAAAGGGAGAGATAAAGCTCACTAGCCACAGAAAAACAGGCAGTTAATTTTTAAAGGACTCCAGCTCTGTCTCTTTCTCAGGGGGAATTGGGTTTTCTTACAACTGAGTTTCTGCTTACACGTTCTTTAATTTCTTTTAATTCCTGTTCCAGTCTCACAGGGGCGTTTTAAAGTGAAAGAGCCAGGTGACTGCTGTCTCAGCAGTGGAGACCTTGCCACGCGTGCTCTGTGAGGGCAGGACCGGCTGTCCTTTAGCCTGGCACAGCAAGGAGTGGTCCAGGGTGGTGCAGTGCCAGGGTGCTGTTGTCGCCGTCTCTCAGCCTGCAGAAGGAGTGGGGGGTGGTGGAGCCAGGCTGTCTTGGTGGGTGCTTGCCTCTGGCGTGTTGTGCTTCTGCCCTGGCCTGTCTAGATGGGATGAGTCGTGGTCTTCTGGAGAGAGCCTTGCCTGCCCTTGTGGGTTGTTTTGAATGGCCATGTCTGTGTGCCTCGGGGGCCTGCGGTGGCTGTGGGGCATCACTGATGTGCTTCTATCTTGTACAGATGCTGCAGCACTGAGTTACTTGGCTGAGAGGGAGGGAGGGGCGGTGGGTCTGCAAGCAGCTGTTCTGACGCTGATGCTGCCCAGGGCTTCTGCACCCACGGGGCTGTTCTTGGTGTTTCAGTTCGCTTGTTCCTTGAGGCTGCACTGTCCTGCTGGCCACAGGCCTGTGAGAACAGGGCTGGCCTATCCTGGCTCTGACCTTCGAGTGCCAGTCCAGGGTCTGTGTCATCACAGGCCACATGTGTGTCTTGCTGACTGCGCCTGTGAGGGGCCAGTTGGCCGGCCTGGCCTTGTGGTCACCATAGTCTGGCCGGCTCTGCCCCTGCCCAACGCTCTGTCCTCCCGAGCCTGGGCTTTGGTGCACACTGGCCTCCTGAGTGCTGGGTACCCCAGTCCACTTTGGGCCACTGAAGAACCCTGCCATTTGGGTCCAGCTTGCATTTGCTCAGTTTGTTTTGGGGTACCCCTTGAGGCCCCTCCCTGCCTTGTGAGATCAATGACTCCCCACAGAGGTGTCCTTTGTGGTTGTCATTTGCGCAGATGGGTCCCTTGGAGCTTGTGGTGTGTCCTAAGTCACGAGCAGGAGGCAGGGCCTCTCCCCAGTGGTGCTTTTCTGGGAAGGGTTTCTCCCGCGAAGGAAGAGCCGGCACACTCGGCAGGAGTGGGGCAGACCCGGGCTGCCTTTCCCCAGAGCAGGGCACCAAGCGAATAGCCGCGGACCTGCAGCAGTGAGGAGTCTTCAACAGGACCCAAGAGTGCCAGCCAAAGAGGAAAGGGTTGGTACGATCTGAAAGTTTGCCAGCTAAGAACACATGCTTACCAAAACCACCTGAAAGAAATTTAAATAAAAAATCCTACCAATCAGTAAGAAAAAAGACCTACAACCCAATGGAGAAACATACATATGTGACTGGCAGGCATTTCTCAGTGATTTGGCTGGCAAACATGGGAAGAGATGGTCAACCACATTAGTCTCCAGGGACACGCAAACCTGGATGGTAAGGAGACCACTGTGCACCCACCAGATTGGCCGAACCTCGGAAGTCCAACCTGTCGAGCCTGAGCGGGATGTGGCTCTCTCCCAGTGCTTCTGGGGGAGCAGCGGTCTGAATATTTGGGAAACCCGTTTGGCACTATGTGTGACGTTGAACATCATGTGCCCTTTCTACAGCAGGTTCCCTGCAGGCACCCCCAGGAGAAGCTCGAGCATGTGCTCACATCTCAGGGCAGTTCTGTTGGGAGCAGCCCCAAGCCAGACACAGCCCAGTGCCATCCCAGAGTTAAGGAGCACTTCATGGCGTGCTGCACGCGGAAACCCCACACAGCTCTGGCCACGGTGAGCGAAGGCCACAGCGACAGCACCAGTGCTGCATAGCGTTAAGACTGAGTGAAAATGACAAGTCCCGAAGACTCTGTGTGACTCCGTCCCATACAGCTTGGAAACAAGCACAACAAGCCGTGTGTTTTTCAGCAAGTGTGTGTATATGTGTTAAAACTTTTAAGAAAAAGGAGAAGGAGAAAACTCCAGATGGAGGTTGCCAGGCAGGGTGGGAATGGGAGAGAAAGAAGCATGTTGATTGCTTTCTCTGCTGTCCACTTCTTGGAGTGGGGTAGGTTCACAAGTGCTCATCACGTTATTAAAATGAACGGATGAAAATACAAGGGAGCCTTACATGAACAAACGATGAACCAAGGATGGCATCAGTTCACTTGAGCCCCAGGATCCCGAGAGAAAGGCAGTGAGGACGCGCGGGTCCATCCCGAAGAAACGGCCACAGTGTGTTCCTTTGCGGTTTCCCATTATCCGCCACGGCGGGGCAGGAGTACAGAGGGCCCCGCCACATGGGGACCCACAGCCTCCATCTTTACTTCTTCCCCTCATCTGCGGGCACGGGGCTTGTAAAGTTGGGGCCTCTCCTCCTTCCTCCCCCAGAATGGCTGATGCGTGTGAACGAATGCCTGGCTCTGGTAGGGGCTGCCTGCCAGGCCTATGTTCTGAGCGTGTCCACCCTGTGTGCCTGCATGAGGCTTCGGTGGATTGCTTTCTATCCTCAGAGCAACTAGGTGAGGGCGCAGTCACCATGTCCCGAGACGGGGAGATGGAGGCCGGGCGAGCTCCGGGGCAGGCGGGCGGATGGGAGCCCCTGTGATGTGGGCGCTGGCAGGCTGAGCGCCACCTCATGGCAGGCAGCACCCCTCCTTCCTTGGTTTCTCCGCAGCGGAGGCCCTCAGTCCTCCTGCAGCCTCCACCACTCCTCACACCACAGCCAGAGAACTGTGTAGGCCTTCAAAAGCCCCAGCGAGTCTCCCGTGCAGCCAGTGGGGGTTCTGGGTGACACAGGTTCTGCAGGCTCTGGGCCTGTTCTCTCTGGAAGGTTCCAGGACAGAGTGCAGGATCCAGGAGGGGAAGGGAGACTTGTCCCCGTTTGTGGCTGGGGAATGTGAAGCACAGCAGGGTGGTGGCGTTCCCCCAGGGCCCAGGCTGCTGGGAGGCTCATGATTCTTGTCTCTGCTCCCTGCCGGTTCTGGGAACAAAGGAAACCGGGGAAGCTGGGCGTTTCCGAGAGAAGTTTCTTCAGAAACCCAGATTGGGTGTTGGACATAAATCTGGAGGAGTCTGCCTCGTCTCCTGGGCTGTGACCTTGTGGAGCAAAGGTGGCGGGAAGCGGAAGCAGAGGCAGGCGGCCCAAGGTGCAGAGCGGGCCAGCGGGGTCCTGCTGCCCCTACTGTCCCCAGGAACCACTGCCTGGGAGCAGCTTCCGTCAACACCCCAGGCCAGAGGCGAAGGCCTCCCTACCATAAACCTACCATAATCCCAGTGTGGTGTTGAAATTAGGATAGACAGTGTATCAGTGGAACACAATGAGTCCACAAATAGACCCACAGATACAGACACACATTTCCAACAAAGATTCAAAGACAATTCAGTGGAAAAGGGAAGTCTTTTTAACAATGGAGCAGAGACAATTGGGTATCCACTGGCACAAAAGTGGAACTGCATACTTTTCACTGCATACAGAACCTTAACAGATCGTAGACCCACATATGTGATCTAACACTATTAAATTTCTAGAAGAAAACAAAATTTTTGTAAACTTGAGTTAGGAAGAGATTTCGGTACATTGCTGTCAGAGAACGTTTGCAGAGAGCTCTGTTCACTGCAGGGGGAGCTGCAGGTCTGCACTGCTTTGTTCTCTTGGGGCAGCCACCCAGGCGCCCTCTGTTCTTAGGGGAAGCTGCCACCCTGGCCTTCAGGGCTGACTGGAGGCACATATCACTGCTTTGCGTCCTGTCCACCCGTGCCCAGCTTTATATACCTGCAGCAGGGGCTGTGAGGGGCGAGGCACCAGCTCAGGGCTGTGTGACCAGCAGGTGGATTTAGATCCTCATCTGTTTGTGCCAGCGCCTGCCCCTGGCTGCTGCCCACCCCCTCGTCTTCTCCTGCTCTTGCTTAAGAGGCCAAAGTCTGACTCCACGGAGGGCACAGCGCATTCCTGAGTGCGATGCTCACTTGGCATCTCTGAGCTGCATTTTCTGCAGCTCAAAAAGGAGGTGTGAGGGATGTGTCCTTTCCCGGCAGCTAGCACTTTGGAAGGCACCACACACCTTCCTCTTTGCTTGTAGACGTGGCTCTTTAGAAAAACAAGATAGCGTTCCCCAGAGCAGGCTCCTTGGAGACAGTGGGAGGGGGTGATGCCACTTGTTGGACATGGCCATTCATAAGCGCAGGTCATGGAAGGGGACGGCAGCCAGGATGGAAAATTAAAGCCCGCATCCCTGGGAAGACGAGCCAGGAGGTCTCACAGCTGCTCCACCTGCAGCAGGCACCGGTCTTCGCAGTGTCCACAGAGCCCTGGCCTGGGAGCTAACGACTCCCCTGTAGCCCTGGGGCTTGCTGTGCTGGGGAGCACCACAGACCCCAAACTTCCTGATTGCTCTCGGTACAGACGAAATGCGCCCGAGTCTTCCAGCAGACGTGGGTAATTTAGGCAAGAAGCATTGTGAACGAGGACAAAGGGGACTTTTGGTTGCATGTTGTTTTTTTTGTCCAGCGTGGCTGCCTAAGGTGACCACGAGTTCTCGTTCAGCTGGCTGAATCACTGCAGGCAAGGGGAAGGACAACACCCTTTGCAAACACGTCCTCTTTTGGCCTTGGGAGGCAGCATGGGAGTGTCTGCTGAGCTGCCATGGCCTGTTGGGGGAGGGGCTGGTTGTTGAGCCTCAGTCCCCTGCCCTTGCTGTCCAGCCTGCTCGGGGCTCACTGAGGTTCCTGTGACGGCCGTCCATGTTCCTCAGAGTTCCGCGTGAGACCCCAGAAGCAGAGCAAAGAGCCCCAGGGCTGTACGTGGGCAGCAAGGAATGAAACGCTGAGTCCTCAGGGGATGTTTGAGGATAGAGGGACAGAGGCCAGTCCAGGTGGAAGGATAGAGAACGGTCTTCCAATAGCAATGTGTTCTGAATATTTTGGAACATAATTAGGTTGCCTTGGTGAATTCCCCTATTTTCTCCAGAGCACTTCTCAATCTGAGGTTACATATTTACTTGGGAATTTACTTACTTATGGATCGAACTGTATCCCCTTGATACTGAATTCCTAACCCGCAGTGCCTGTAAATGTGACCTTGTTTAGAAAGAGGGTCTTTACCGACGTAAGCAGGTTAAGATGAGGTCAGCCCTGTCAGTCACTACATGACAGACGAACAGCAGTTGGAGCCACAGTGCCCAGGTGCAGTGCCCTCCCTTATCCTCAGGGGATGCATTCCAAGATCCCCGGTGGATGCCTGAATCCGCAGATAGCATTGAACCCTAGACAGAACCCTAGATAGACCATGTTTTGTCCTCTGCATGCGTATGTGTGGTAAAGTTTAATTTATAAATTAGGCACAGTAAGAGACTAACAACAATAGCTAATAGTAGAACAATTAGAACAATAAGCCAGCATCACTGCTCTTCTGATTTGGGGCTGTTATTAACTAGGATGAGGGTTACTTGAACACAGGTGCTGTGATACCACAACACTTGTTCTGATCATCAGGACAGCTACAGCTGGGCGCGGTGGCTCACACCCATAATCCCGTAATCCCAGCACTTTAGGAGGCTGAGGCAGGCAGATTACTTGAGGTCAGGAGTTTGAGACCAGCCTGGCCAACATAGTGAAACCCCATCTCTACTAAAAATACTAAAATTATCTAGGTGTGGTGGCGTGCGCCTGTAATCCCAGCTGCTCTGGAGGCTGAGGCAGGAGAATCACTTGAACCTGGGAGGCAGAGGTTGCAGTGAGCCGAGATCGTGCCACTGTGCTCCAGCCTGGGTACAGAGCAAGACTCCGTCTCAAAAAAAAAAAAAAAAAAAAAAAAGACAGCTACAGAGTGACTAGCAGGCAGGTCAAATAGACACTGTGGAGATGCTGGATAAAGGATGCTACACGTCCCTGGTGGGACAGAGCAGGACGGCAGGGGATTTCATTACGCCATTCAGAATGGCAGGCAATTGAAAAAACTTATAAATTGTTTATTTCCAGAATTTTTTACTTAATATTTTCAGACTGCAGTTGACCTCAGGACACTGAACCATGGAAAGCGAAACCGCGGATAAGGGGGAACAAGTGTGTTTCCCAAAGTCACAGTGCACTTAGAGGGGGTCCTCCCACCCCATCCTCCCCTCAGACAGAGACTGGGTGTTGTGTGGGTTTCTACTGGGTCCTCTGAGAGGGCAGCGCTTGGGGTGAAGAAGTAGCCCCCAGACTCTGTCCACCCCCTCCCGCCTCTGGAATGTATCAGGGGGAAGACAGGCCTCCAGTTCCATGAGTTCCTGCCCTGGCCCCGCCCAGCACCCTCATGCCCACCCCCATTCTCACTTGGCCAGCACCACTGACCCCAGCGCACTCAGGCACAAGCGTGTTCCCTGTGCATATGCTGTCCGTGCACATACATCCTGAACCAGGCACACAGATGCACACACATACACGTGTGTGTGTACACATGCACTGTGTTCACACCCCAGAAACACACCTGTGTAGACACGTGCATGCACAGACATGTTTCTGTACTCGAAGTGGGTTCTGAGACAGTGAGCAGCAGGCACTTGGGTTTTTGGCCAGGAGCGCTGCTGTGCTAAGGCTGGGAGGGCCTGGGTCCCTGCAGGCGTCGCGGCCTTCCTTCTTACAGACTCGCTCTAGGTCGCCCCTGCTGTTGACACCCGTGTCAGTGCAGACACAGCCCTCCCAGCTGGGCAGCCGAGTCCGAAGGCTGCCTGCGCGCTGGCCCTTCCATCTCTGCTCCTGCACACGGCTCCTCTGCAGACCTACCTCATCGCTGTCACCTGCTCTCTCCCGTTCCAGAAGCCACCCCTGAGCCACGGGAAGCTCCCAGCACCTGCTCTTTTACTCCCAATTTGCTCCTCCTCTTCCGCCCTCCTCTTTTATTTCTATTTGGAGAAGTATGGAAAGTCAAAAAGTACAGTGAATAAGAGCAACCCCCATATTCCCGTCACCCAGAATGAATAACCTGTTATGTGTGTAGGGTGGTGGGAGGTGGTATGCATGTGTGTGTGAGGGGTGGGGGGTGCATGTGTGGTATGTAGAGTGTGTGTGCGCGTGTGTGGTGTGAGGGTATGTGTGTGGTATATGTGTGTAGTGTGAATGCAGTGTGTGGTGTGTGCATGTATGTTGTGTGGTGTCTGCGCATGTATGGTGTGTTTGGGGTGTGTGTGGTGTCAGCGTGTGTGTGGGCTGTGTAGGGTGTGAATGTGGTGTGTGGGTGTGTGTGTGGTATATGTGTGATGTGTGTGCATGTATGGTGCGTGGAGTGTGTGGGGTGAGCGTGGTATAAGTGTGATCACGTGTGGTATACATGTGTGCTGTGTGTGATATGTGTGCATGTAGTGTGGCGTGTATGCATGTATGGTGTGTGATGTGGCTGTGATGAGTTTGGTGTGAGTGTGCATGTGTGGTGTGAGCGTGTGTGGTATAAGTGTGGTGTGTGCTGTGAGTGTGGTATAAGTGTGTGGTATGAGTGTGTGGTGTGTGAGCAGGTGGGGGGCAGGAAGGGATCAAGCCAGCATTGTTGTTACAGCACTGACTTCCCCATAGGTGATTTCCGCTGCATCCCAGACACCCCCTAGCTGGCCCCAATTTTTGGAAAAGTAAGTGATTTGGGGGTGAATTGCACTACCTTTAAGTGATTCTGAAGTCCTCGGTGGCTCAGAAATGCAGGGAGATGACATTGGAAGCTTCCCTCCCTCTTGTTAGGACAAATCCTGTGATTTGCACACCTTGAAAGTCTGGATCTGGGACCTGGGCAGGCCCTGGCACCCCCGGGGCCCCTGCAGCAGGTGCGGGGAGGGGGCTGGTAGGGCAGTGCACAGGGATGGAAGGTAGCAGAGTGGGCACAACATCCCCTGCAATCCCTAGCACATTCCTGTGGTTCCGTGGGTGGGTGGGCAGGACAGGGAGAGTCACAGGTGGGAGGAGGCCTGGTCCCCTGTCCTCACCCTGCATCAGTCCTGGCTGGTGGCATTCTGACCACCCTCTCCCATAATACCAGGCTCGCCCCTCCCCCAGGCCTGGCTGTGTCCGGAGCTGCCCTCTGGGCTCTGTGGGCAATGTGAACATGTGGCCGCCAGGAATAGCGCCTCATATTTAGACAGCAGCCTCCTCTGCTCCCGGCCTGCCCTTCCAGGCCCTCTGCGGGCAGGCTGGCCATTTGTCCCAAGTCCCTTTCAGGGTTCTGTTGGTGGAAGGGCCTCCATCCTGCCCACCCCTTCAGCTGAAGGCTTCTGTCCCAGGATCACACCCCACGCTCCCAACAGGACTCAGAGGGCCTCGTCTTCCAGCCTAGAAGCCACCGAGTTCTTTTGTGTAAAGTGTAAAAAATGTTTGCACACCCAGCTATTTGTGTGTGTGTGTGTACATTTAAAATTATGTGTTTGTTGTATTCTCATTAGCTAACGTCTTAAGGCACAGTGTGTGTTTACGGTGAAGTTTATAACAGCAGATGTTAACCCACCACGTGAAAGTGTTAACCCGATCATCTCAGAGATGACTTCCTAATCCTGGGTTCTCAGACTGGCCTGAGTCTGGGTGGCGATGGAGACAGCAGTGGCTTCCGGGAGGTCCCTGCACTGGCCCCACCCAGGGGACCATGGAAGGATTGGATCTGGGCCATCTGGGTCTCCTCTGGCCCCTTGTCCTGGCGCCTGGGAGCAGGGGTGTTGGGAGGAGGAGGCTAGGCTGCTCCCGGGCACTGGGCCAGGGCCAGGGCCAGGGCCAGTGGCTGTGTCTCAGAAGTCCAGGCTACCTTCCTGCCCCATGTTCCAGAAAGCTCTCCTGTCCCCAGGCTGCCCTCATTCAGGTACCTTTTCACACTTGGATGACTCCAACGGGCTGATTCAGTACCGCAGTGTCCCAGCAGCTGACAATGACTGGAACTTGGGGAACGTCTCCATGGCCAGACAGGGCCCTGTTGAGGTGGCTGAGGCCACAGCTTAACACCAACAAACCATTTGCTGGTGGTCACAAGACGGGGTGAGTAGCAGCTGCACATTCCTGCAGAGTGAGCAGGCATTCCCAGCTGGGTGGATGAAGGCCCTGCAGCCTGGATGTGGGAGCTGGAACTGTCCGCTTTGCCCGGCACACACTACTGCACCCCATCAGCTAAAATGCATTGCCTACCACGGGGTCTTCACCCACCCACAGCTCTGCTCCAATTCCAGGTTGGGCCCTTCTTCCTCTGGCCACTGTACCTTTATTTTTTTTAGCCTTTGGCATATTTATTACTGTAAAATACACAATACAAATTTTACCATTGTGGCTGGGTGCGGTGGCTCATGCCTGTATTCCCAGCACTTTGGGAGGCCAAGGCGGGCGGATGACTTGAGGTCAAGAGTTTGACACCAGACTGGGCAAGATGATGAAACCCCATCTCTACTAAATATACAAAAAATTAATTGGGCGTGTTGATGGCTACATGTAGTCCTGGCTACTTAGGGGGCTGAGGCAGGAGAATCGCTTGAACCTAGGAGGTGGAGGTTGCAGTGAACTGAGATCGTGCCACTGCACTCAAGCCTGGGCGGCAGAACAAGACTCCATCTCAAAAAAAAAAAAATGTTACCATCTTAAACCTTAAGGCTCATCCATGTTGTAGCATGTGTCAGAATTTCCCTACTTTTAAAAACGGAGTAATATCCCATTTTGTGGATGGACCACATGTGTTCAGGTGAGTACCTAGGACTACAGACAGAGATGGGGTCTTACTATGTTGCCCAAGCTGGTCTCAAATTCCTGGCCTCAAGTGATCCTCCCACCTCAGCCTCCCAAAGTGTTAGGATTACAAGTGTGAGCCACCATGCCTGGCTGAGTTAATTTTTGTATACGGTGTAAGGTAAAGATCCAACTTCACTTTTTTAAAAAATTTAACTGGATTTCCAATTTTCCCAGCACTATTTGATGGAAGGACTGTCCTTTCCCCATTAAATGGTGTTCATACTCTCATCAAAAATCATCTGGCCATACATGCCAGGGTTTATTTCTGGACTGTTGTATTCCACTGGTCCATATGTCTGTCTTCATGCCTGTATCACACTCCATTGATTACTGTAGCTTTGTAGTAAGTTTTGAAATATGAAAGTGTGAGTCTTCCAACTTTATTCTTTCCAGATTGCCTTGATTGCCGGGCGTGGTGGCTCACTCCTGTCATCCCAGGGCTTTGGGAGGCTGAGGTGGGAACATTGCTTGAGGCCAGGAGTTTGAGAGCAGCTTGGGCAACATAGAGACCTTGTTTCTACAATAAACAATTTTAAAAAAATTGGCCAGTCACAGTGGCTCACACCTGTAATCCCAGCACTTTGGGAGGCAGAGGTGGGCAGATCACGAGGTCAAGAGATCAAGACCATCCTGACCAACATGGTGAAACCCCGTCTAGCTGGATGTGGTGGTGTGCACCTGTAGTCCCAGCTACTTGGGAGGCTCAGGTAGGAGAATTGCTTGAGCCTGGGAGGCGGAGGTTGCAGTGAGCTGAGATCGCACTACTCAGGAAGCTGAGGCAGGAGGATCAATTGAGCCCAGAAGGTCGAGGCTACAGCGAGCTATGATCATGCCATTACACTTCAGACTGGGTGACAGAGCAAGGCCCTGTCTCTAAAAAAAGATGGAAAAAAGTTTTTTAAATAAAAAAAGATTGTCTTGACTATTCAGAGTCCCTTGCAATTCCATATGAATTGTAGAATGGATTTTAAAATTTCTTTAAAAAGTGCTGTTGGATTTAGGTAGGTAGTTATTGCGTTGAATCTATAGATTGCTTTGAGTAGTATTAACATCTCAATATTAGGTTTTCCAATTCATGAACATGGGATGTCTTTTAATGTCTTTTTTAATGTCTTTCAGCAACATTTTGTAGTTTTTATTGTAGAAATCGTTCACCTCCTTGTTTAATTTCTAAGTGTGTCATTCACTTTGATGCTACAAATGGACTTGCTTTCTTCATTTGTTCTTGGGTTGCCATTTGTTAGCGTATAGAAATGAGCTTGATTTTTGCAGGTTGAGTTTGTATGCTGCAACTTTGCTGAATTCATTTATTAGTTTTAGCAGATGTGTGTGTGTGTGTAATCTTTAGTTTTCGGTGTACAAACAGAGGATTTTACTTCTTTTCCAATTTGGATGCCTTTGTGTGTCAGCATGTGTGAGTGATAGTGTGTGGCAGGGGAGTGCTGTGTGCGTGTGTGTGTGTGTGTGTGTGTGTGCACGTGTGTTTGAGAGAGAGATGGGTGAAATCAGCTGGCTGGCCTGGGTGCTCTCTGGGGCTATAGAGCACCACTCCTGGGAGTCCGTGCTCCACAGGACAAGGGAGTGAGCTGGAGTTCGGGCAGCAGGTTCACATTAGGGGTGTTTTCATAGATGTCTCTGGATTTCAGTAGCTGGATCCCAGCCAAAGCAAGTGGTAGCAGCTTTGAATTGTTGTAAAATTTCACTGCTTCGGAAAGACCTCTCTTTCTGTGTGTCTTCTCCACATCCTAGTCAAAAAATCATTTCAGAGAGAATCTCAGGAAGGGCTGCTGCCCTGCCACTGAAATGTGGGCCAGTCTGCCTGGGACAGATCCCTCTTTCAAGCAAGCATCTGCTCTTCTCCTAGTTCAGTTGGAAACTTGAGTTTGTCCAAGCGAGGTGGCCTCCGGGAGAGGCCAGGTGGAAGTCCTGATATGAGCCGATGACTTTGGTCTCCTTCTCACAAGCAGTTGCCAGCCACGGGCACATGCAGATTCTCGCCGTCTCCATCATTCTTCCCCTTTGGAGGGAGAACCCAGGAGTGCTGTGGCGCCCCGCGGAGGGGGAGAACCCAGGAGTGCTGCGGCGCCCCGCAAAGGGAAGCTGGGGCGGGAGATGTTCACGGGCGGGGGGTTCTGCCCTGCCCCGCCATGGGTCTCTGCGCCTGCCTGGTCAGATGGTGGAACTTTCTGGGCACGGAGTGGGGGCTGTAACCACACTTACTGCACAGTTGTTGCGAGAATCAAATGTCAGCTGCTTGGGGCCCAGGAGCTCGGTCCAGGTGAAGTCCTTTGTCGGGGGCAGATCCTGCCGTGAATCTGAGTGGATAGAGGCTCGTGCAAGAGGCCAGGCCTCCAGCAGCCCAGGGTTCGCAGGTGGTCTGACACCTGCCCTAACACACTTCTGCTTTGTTCCCCAAACCCAGTGGGTTGATGGAAGCATTTCCGTCCTCTCCCGATGGGTACCCCTGTGCTCTTCACTGCAAACCTCCTTTTTAAGAAGGTTGAGTCCTGAGAAACTCTGCGTACACACACATCCCCCTGTGGCCACCTGTCAGGGTTGCCTGGGTGTCAGTGTCGACAGCTGGGTGGCACTGCCCACGCCGGACATTCTGCTAATAGCCAGGCAGTCATGCCTTCCTCTTCCGAATCAACCTCACTCGGAAGCTCAACGCAAACCCTGCCAGTCACCCAGCAGCCACAGATGGATGAGTCACTGTGATAAATGCACGATGAGGAAATACAGAGTCATCTCCCCACAATTCTATACTCTGTGTGTGAGGGAGACAGAGAGCGGGGTGGGCAGAGAGACAGAGAACACTGGGGAGGAGGAGGAGGAGTCCAGAAGGAGCTGGAACGGCCTTTCTGGGTGAGAACACAGCATGTGCCAGCCTGGCCCTGTGGACCACAAGGCTCACGGTGGCCACCTTCATGGGCCTTCCCTGGACTCGCCTGGTGGGTCCTGAGGGCTTGTGTGCCCCCCCTCACTCTGACCCAGGACGGCCCTAGGGATCCTTTGGCCTCAGACCTGTTCAGGCAGGACCCAGCAGAAACCCCTCCCCCGTCTCCGCCCACAGGCCTCTTTGCCCTTTACAAAGTTTAAGGGTCACTCTGGAGTTTTTCCTTAGGGGCTCAGAAAGTCAGCCACACTCGGCGATCAGGGTCAGGCTTCATGGGGTCAGACAGGCACGGGGCATGCTAGGGAGTGTCTAGCAGCCACTCTTGGGGTGTGAGGAGTCCTGGTCTGCTCCCCCAACAGCAGGCTTCCAGCTTCTAACGCAAACTTGCTGGCTGCAGAGTTGGTGTGAGATGTTCGCCTTGGAAGGCAGACGCACCCTCAGGACGTCAGGAAGTCTTGGTCAGGGGGATTGTGTTGGGGGAGAGACCACCTTAGCTGAAGGGGGTTTCCAGTGTGTGGTTCTGATCTGGGCTGCTGCACAGGCTCAAGGCTCACAGGACGTCCTTCCTCCAGGGTCATATGGGCCCCTGCACTGCAAATCGATGGCACCCATGGGCAGCAGGGCCTCCCTAGACAGCCCATCACACAAAAGACCACCTGTGGCTGGCCCCTCACCTGGAGGTGGTAGCACAGCCGCAGCCACACTTTACCACCGGCTGGGGCAGAGACCGAGGGCCCTGTGGACGGCTGGTCCTTCCCAGGCTCCCACTCGGGGGAGCCCCAGAAACAAGCACACGTATACTGTTAGAAACATCCAAGGGGAGGCCGCGTAACTGGAGGACCAGGAGGAGCATTGCGGCATCTTGGGGCATTCCATCCTGTGCCCTGTGGCAGAGCTGAGCCACGTAGCAGAGCTGAGTCACATGGCAGAGCTGAGCCGCGTGGCAGAGCTGAGTCGGCTTCTGAGAGGGAGCATCCTGTTCCCTGCAGCCCTGGCCAGAGCCACTAGGCCAGCTGGTCCCATCCGGAGGAGCCTCCCTCAGGCGATGGCTGAGGGGTCCCAGGGTCTCTGCTGATGGTCGGTTTATCCAGCTATGCTGCTGACCCTGCCCTCTCTTGCCACCCAAGGGCTAGGCTGCAGTGGGTAGGGGTAGTGGCAGGGATTGGTGAGGTCCCCCAGGGTGTGGCAGCCACTGGAGGAGGGTGGCTGGGCTCCGGCTGCCCTCTCGTGGAATCTTGGCATGCTGCTCAACCTTCAGCCTCAGTTTCCTCTTCCACGAAAGGGGAAAACAGTGGCTCAGGGGCTGGCAGTTGGACTAAGGAGCTGACGCCTACATGGTGGCTACTGATAACACCACAGTCGCTCTTTTGCTTTAGGAAATTGTCTCAAGGACGTTCCTGTTAAAATGCAAATGTTGGTTGTAAATTATCCCCCCTCCTACCTGGCACCAGCTGACTCATCAGAAGGGCTAGGGGCATAGAAGGGGCAACAGTGGGGGGCACAGGGAAGCCCTGGCTCGCAGCCTTGGGGAGATGGCACTGCCCCTCAGGGACCGTGAAGCTGCCGCCACGCATCGCCCCTGCCTCAGAGCTGCCCATGAGGCCCTCCCGAACTGTCCAGCCAGCCTGGCTGCCTTGGCTGGGCCCCTCAGTGGCCCCTTCACGGTGTTTGTTCTCCCCAGCTCAGCCACAACGCCTGCTGGCTTCCCATGGCCCTGGGGTGCTGTTGCCCTGGCCCTCCCTTCCCTCTTCTCTGTTCAGGTTGCATGGCTGTCATGTTAATCACCATTCAAGGGACCCTTAACTTCTGTGTCTCTCACTCCCCTGGACTTGCCTGGAAAGCCTCTCCCTCGAATTCTCCGTGCCCCGGGCAGCAGCTGCAGCTCCAGCGCAGGCAGAATGGGAGCCGAGACGAGAGCCCCGAGTGTCTTCTCTGCCCGTGTGGCCGTCCCTCAGGCTCCAGCCACCTCCCTTGCTGTGCCAGGTAACCTGTACCACACGTCCATCTTCAGGTCCCCCCTGCCTCGGGACCTTGGTACGTGACGTCCCCTTTCCTGCCAGGCTCAGGCCCTGGCTTCATTGAGGTCTCCATGGCGCGGTTTCCTCCCTGGACTCCCTCCGTGGCTGTGGCCTCTGCACACCCAGGCCACCTTGCCTTATGCTGCATGGCCTGCACCGCTGCTTGCCGTCATGGGTATTTTTTAAAAGGTGATTAATAACTCCTTCACCTTGAAAAAGGTGGGGGATCACCTTATTCTGAAAACTCATAAAGGGACAGAATCAAGTATGTATCCTGCTTGTCCTGGCAAACAAAGAGTTGATGATGGAAAGTTCTTCATAGACGGTTAGCTAATAGGCCGGGCGTGGTGGCTCATGCCTGTAATCCCAGCACTTTGGGAGGCCGAGGTGGGTGGATCACAAGGTCAGGAGATTGAGACCATTCTGGCTAACACAGTGAAACCCCGTCTCTACTCAAAATACAAAAAATTAGCCGGGCGTGGTGGCGGGTGCCTGTAGTCCCAGCTACTCGGGAGGCTGAGGCAGGAGAATGGCGTGAACCCGGGAGGTGGAGCTTGCAGTGAGCCGAGATCACACCACTGCACTCCAGCCTGGGCGACAGAGAGAGACTCCGTCTCAAAAAGAAAAAAAAAAAAAGTTAGCTAATAAATGAAGAATGAATTAAAATATTGCCATTTTGCAACTTCCAGTGAAATCTCAGATGTGGGCATTGGTCCTCAATGGCTGCAGAAATTAGGAGGCGACAGGCTGTCGGGGGCCTTCACGGTGTGAGGCAGGCTGGCCATAGATGGACCCCAATCGATCTAATCAGAAGGACAGGGACAACCAGACGCCGTGCGCCTTCGGATGGGACGTGCTGGGAATCACACGGCCCCACTGGGACCAGCCTGAATGAGGCCAGCCTCTGGTTCTACGCACTGGTGTACCAGGCACAGAGGGGAATGTGCTGAACTGCACCCAGCCACACACAGGCCATGAGACCCGGCAACAACCTGGTGTCCTGTCCTCAACAAATCAATGAAAGGAAAAAGAGAAGGAATCTTGTCTGTTGATTAAAAAAAAGGTAGATGAGCTCTAGCCGCCAAACACAGCACGCAGACCTTGCCTGGACCCTGATTGTCATAAACTAACCAAACAGACAGAGGCTACCAAAAGCATTGATGAGGCAGTTGGGAACTTTGGTGGTATGAAGGAATTACTTATTTTGGGGTGTGATAATGGGATCGTGATTATTTTTTAGAAAGAGCTGTCATTTAGAGATTCTGCTGCACTGTTGGTGGTGCAAGGAGAGATTTACTTCAAAATACGCCAGTGGTGCTCGCGTGGGGACGGGGCTCAGGGTGCCATGGGGTACAGATGAGAGGCCACTGGTCACCAGCCACTGTGATGAGGGCTGCAGGGCTGACAGGTACAGGGTGTTTAGTATACTTTGCTTTCCGTTGGTATATATTTGGCAATTTCCTAATAAAAAGTCAAAAATTGGCCGGGCCCTGTGGCTCATGCCTGTAATCCAGCACTTTGAGAGACTGAGATGGGAGGATCACTGGAGGCCAGGAGTTTGCGACCAGCCTGGGCAATAGAGCAAGACCCTATCTCTATGAAGAAAAAATTGGCCAGGTGTGGTAGCACATGCCTGCAGTTTCAGCTACTCAAGAGGCTGAGGTGGGAAGACTGCTTGAGTCCAGGAGTTTGAAGTTGCAGTGAGCCAGGATGGTGCCACTGCGCTCCAGCCTGGGTGACAGAGTGAGAGCCTGTCTCGAAAACATTTTTTTAAGTTAAAAATCAGCCAATAGGTGGATTATTCATCCCATAATCACCATTAGGCTGAAAAGGTAACATTTTTCCTTTGGGTCACAAAGGTCTTCTGTAACCCCAGCAAAGTATGAACGTAATATTACTTAAACTCCAAGAAGTCTTCAAAACAGGCAGTGTTATAAGCTAGGGTGGTTTACACAAGCAGAGAAACAAATAGATGACGCAAACCCTGATTGTGTGGAACCCAGTTTATATGTTTGTGTGTTTTGTTTGCTTTCAAGAAGTTTAAGGTGTTTGGAAGAATCACTCACCCTAAATCATTGATTATGGTTTTAATGGTTTAAGGAGATGTAGTTACACCAATAAGCCTTAAATGATAAGAAAACTGCTTTTTCAAAGTTCCCCTTATTCTTACATTAACTTTATTATTTTTTATTTTTTATTTTTATTTTTGAGACAGAGTCTCATTCACTCTCACCCAGACTGGAGTGCAATGGCGCGATCTCGGCTCACTGCAACCTGCACCTGCCAGGTTCAAGCGATTCTCCTGCCTCAGCCTCTAGAGTAGCTGGGATTATAGGCATGCACCACCACGCCCAGCTAATTTTTATATATTTTTTTTAGTAAAGATCGGGTTTCGCCATGTTGGCCAGGCTGGTCTTGAACTCCTGACCTCAGGTGATCTGCCCGCCGTGACCTCCCGAAGTGCTGGGATAACAGGTGTGAGCCACCATGCCTGGCCACATTCACTTTAATAACTAAAACATTATAGAGCTGCAGGGCTCTGTTGAACACGCCCAGGGTTGGTCCCGCCTTGTGCTGGCTCTGTTTCTCCTTCTTTTCGTTTGGTGTTGGTGTTTCTCCTTCTTTTCGTTTGGTGTTGGTGTTTCTCCTTCTTTTCGTTTGGTGTTGGTGTTTCTCCTTCTTTTCGTTTGGTGTTGGTGTTTCTCCTTTTTGTTTGCTGTTGGTGTTTCTCCTTCTTTTCGTTTGGTGTTGGTGTTTCTCCTTCTTTTCGTTTGGTGTTGGTGTTTCTCCTTTTCGTTTGCTGTTGGTCTCTGGCTGCTCTGAGCAGCACACAGTGTGCAGCCTCTGCTCCTCCCTGTTGAAGAGGGCAATATAGCTTGGATGTCCCGCTCTGGTCTCATGTGGGGATGTAGTCCCCAGTGCTGGAGGTGGGGCCTGGTGGGAGGAGCTGGATCATAGGGGTGGCTCCTGGCTTGGTGCTGTCCTTGTGATAGTCAGTGAGCTCTCGAGAGAGCTGGGAAACAGTCTGTGGCATCTTCCACCTGCCACCTGCCCTCCCGCTCTTGCTGTGCGACACATGGGCTCCTCCTGTGCCTTCCGACATGATTGAAAGCTTCCTGAGGCCTCACCGGAAGCCAAGCAGATGCCAGTGCCATGCTTCCTGTGTAGCCTACAGAACCTGAGCCAATCAAACCCCTTTTCTTTATAAATTACCCAGTCTCAGTTTGTTTCTTTATAGCAATGCAAGAATGGCCTACCTACCACAGGGGGCAATGGGCCCGTGGGGGAGGGGTGTAAAAGCCAGGACCTGAGGGCTCCTCAGTGTTGTTGTGGATAAAATGGGGGATGGACATTTCCTGGGTCCTTGCCACCCCCTGCGAAGTCATGGGGTCTTCCTGAGTGTACAGGACGCTGCCTGGCCTGGCCTCAGCCCTCCCATTCCACCCGTGCAGGACGATGCCTACAGAAGTGTCCCTGGGTCACAGCCCATCAGAAGGAGGATTGGGCAGTGGTGTGGGCCAAGAGCCTGTCTGCACAGAGATCCTTGGGGGCTCAAGACAGCCCTGCACCCCGGCCAGGAGCTCCGTGTGTCACTCCTTTTGTTGGTTTATTTGTTTAAGATTTTCTTATTTGAGTTGCAGAAATGAGATTGAGAAAGGGGCGTGCTGTGGCTACCCTGCTGCATCCTATGCAAATGTCGTGGAGCCCGGTCACCCAGATAGCTGTGTCCAGGCATTGGCAGCCAGGCCTTCCCGGGAGGACTGCCTGCGGGGGCTCAGCCCACCCAGTTCCCGCCAGCAGGAGCAGGCAGTGCCCGCCGCTGCCCCCACTTGGAGGTTCTGAGGTGTCAGTCACCTTTTTGTTGTTGTTTTTAAAAAACTTTACTGAGGTGGAGTTTGCATGCTACCCAAGTCTCAGGTGTACGATTCAGCAGTTGTCACTGCATCATGCAGCCACCAGCACGATCCACCGTCGGAACATTGCATCCTTCCAGATAGACCCTGTGTGCCCCTTCACGGCTCATCCCGTTCCTGTCCCAGGCCCTGGCAGCCCTGGCATAGCTCCTGTCCCTGTGGATGCGCCTGCTCTGAATATTTCCCAGCAGCAGAGTCACAGGATGTGGCCTCTCACTGAGCAGCATGTCCTGAGGCTTGTCTGTGCTGTGGCGTGAGTCAGAGCCTCCCTCCTTTCCATGGCCGAACAGGTTTCATCGTATGCGTGTCCTGTGCATCTGCCCAGCAGCTGATGGATGCTGGGGTGCCCACGTTGTGGCTATTGGGAATCAAGTGGCTGAACACGTCACGGCACTTGTGTTTCCGCTTCTCTCGCGCAGACGTCTAGGAGTTGATGTCTTTTATGAAAGAGTAAGTTTTTGAGTAAGTTAGATATGCCCAGGGAACAAGTTTCAGAAGGCACAGAAGCAACTAAAGGAAGAGTGAGTAGTAAACGTCCTACTGGTGTCTCCTACTGGTGTCTCTCCAAAGGCGGTCATTGTCGCCAGATTCTTGTGTTTCCCCTGAGGGCCTTTCCATGTCTATCAGCAGAAAAACACACTGCATTTGATGTAAAAGAGATGTGTCTTGGTTTGGGTTCCCCTGAAGGCAGAGCCGAGGCAGGGGCTTGGGTGCAGGTGGATTACCTGGAGGTGACCCAGGAAGCCCGAGGGGACAGGAGGGAGCAGTGGGATGGAGAGGTGGGAAGAAAGGAGTCTGTGCAGCTGAGTTGCTGAGCGGTTCCCACGGAGAGCAGCCATGCTCAGTTCCACCAGGCACCTCCAAGGGCTGTGCCTCTGAAGGACGGGAGGTTGGGTTATTTGTGGGAGGACCTGGACCCCTCCTGGCCGAGGCCGGCCCCAGGGATTGCCGCCTCCACTTTCTGCGGCTTAGGCAGGATCTTTGTGTAGATGTTTGCACAGATGGTAGCTTTGTCTGTTCACGGTTCTGTACTTTTCCATATTCACTTGACCATGTATCTTGGGAACGTACCTCACTTTTTTTTTTTTTTTTTTTTTTTGAGTTGGAGCCTTGCTCTGTCACTCAGGCTGGAGTGCAGTGGTGCCATTTTGGCTCACTGCAACCTCTGCCTTCCTGGTTCAGGCGATTCTCCTGCCTCAGCCTCCTGAGTAGCTGGGACTACAGGCACATGCCACCATGCCTGTCCAGTGTTTGTATTTTTAGTAGAGACAGGATTTCGCCCTGTTGGCCAGGCTTGTCTTGAACTCCTGACCTCAGGTGATCCACCCACCTCAGCCTCCCAAAGTGCTGGGATTACAGGCGTGAGCCACCACCCCCAGCCCCATACCTCACTCTTAAATGGAACATAATATTCCCTTGTATGGATATGCTGTGGTTTATTCACTAGTCTTGCCTAGTGATGGATCTTTAGATTTGTTTTTTTCTGTGAGAAATGCTGCAATAACTTACTTTGAAATGCATCAGAAGTAAGATGGGTGGATGGACCTGGGCTAGGCAAGTGTAGTGCGCTGTGCATGGGAGTGTCTGGGAGTGCATGGGTCTTCACTGCACAACTGGCTAAATAAATTGCCATGTGTTTGAAAGGTTCAGAAAGTAAAACGGTGGGGAGAGTGCTGGTCTCTTAAGTGTTAAAGCCCCAGGACAGTGGTATTGTGGGGTGCGGGGTCCATCAGCTCAGCTTCTTCCCAGACAGGCAAGCGCAGGGAACCTGAGACCCCTGGACCCTTGGCAGGAGGGCACCTGGAAGGGCCCTGGGAAGCCCTGGAGTGCCTCAAAACAGGGAGCCCAGTACAGAGTGTGATTCTGGTGCCCGAGCCTAGGGCTTGGTGAGACGGCCCCTCATGGAAGCCCCAGCCCCCACTCTCTGCCCCGCTCCTGCTGGATGGGAGCGCTTGAAATTCAGGGCTTGTCACTGTATCCGCAATAACAGGAACATGTGGAGACCCCTCACCACGCATGGAGCTCATCCTGCTCACAGCGAGCCTGTGGGTGCAGCCCCCGCAGATCCCATGCATAGGTGGGGACGTGGAAGCCCCAGGAGGCAGGGGGACAGGTCAGTGGGTGGTCCTGCCCAGCCTGCTCTCCTGCCCTCATGTCTGCTGGGTGACTTGGCAGTGTGCAGCATCAGTGCTGGTCCCCCTAGTGGGCCCGGGGCCAGCTGACTCTGCCAGGGAGGGGGTGGGTTTTCAGGCTGAATAGGCTGGGAGCAGGGACAGAGAAGGAGAGATGAGATGGGACTGGGGCTGCGTGGACTGTGCCTGTGTGGGGTTTGTGTCACCTGCTGTGACATGACATTGTGATGTTGGCTGCAGCAGCAGAGGGCAGCTGGGAGGTGCTGTTGTGGCGGCTGCAGCTCCCAGCCTGGGTGTGGCGTGGCCTGAGCAGTCCTGGCACCCTGAGCACCCAGGCCAGTCTCAGCCAGTTGTCCAGAACCTGCAGGAAGTGCTGGCTCCACCAAGAAGGGGAGGGGGGGCCTGGCCACCCCTGATCATGGGGATAGAAGAGGCAGCTGCGGGGGTGGGAACCCGTGCATGGCAGGGGTAGAACCAGCCACCTAGAAACTGAACACCAGACAGGCACCAAGTGATGCAGATTTCCCTGTATGTTGGTGGCACCTGTGCTGCTGGCTGCCTTGGGGCTGAGTTATGATGAACACCACTAGCTCCCAGCAGGACGTGGGACATGCAGGGCTGAGCTGGATGTGTGAACTGGGCTTTCCTCGTGGGATCTGAATCCTTTCCTGTCCCTGCTATGGGAAGGGCTGGGGTGCCTGTGGATCGCTGGGCAAGAGCAGGGGGGCGGCAGGTTTGCGGGTCACAGTAACAGCTGCTGAGGGCTGGACGCTCATGTTCCCCCAAAACTCAGGTGGAAATCCTCACCCCCAAAGCAGTGGCATTAGGAGGTGGGGCCTTTGGGAGGTGATTAGGCCTGAAGGACAGAGCCCTCATGCTGGGATGAGTGCCCTTAGGAAGGAGAGATCCCTTGCTCCTTCCACGTGTGAGGACACAGTGAGAAGACGCTCATGGGCAAGCCGCAGGTGGGCCCTCGCCAGAGCCCGGCCACGCGGGCACCTGGTCTGGGACTTCCAGCCTGCAGGACTGTGAGAAATAGGTTTCTGCTGCTGAGAAGCCGCCCGCCTGTGGGATTTTGCTATAGCAGCCAGAATGGACTAAGACAGTAGGGGAATGGGAGATTCCCGCTGGAGCTGAGAGCCTGACCTGGGAACGTGACAGGCCAGCGAGGCTGTAGACGTGGCCACGCATCACTGCTCGCAGGGCTCCCGAACTTAGAGCACGGTGAACCAGACAGTGATGAAGCAAAGCCACCGCCACGCAACTCCGAGGTTCAGCCAGCAGGCACCGAACATGCCAGCAGCTCGGTGGCACCCGGCATGCTCGGTGGCATGTCCCTTCAGCGGACGGGGCACCAACCCAGCATGTGTGCAGTGAGAGCGTGTGGTGTGAGCACACCCGGCGGGAGCTCTTCTGGTGCTGTTGTGTGGCGGCGGCAGCTGAGCACAACGCAGATGACTTTGCCCCCTGCGCACTTGGTGTCCCCATATCTGTGTCCGGTGGGCAGCTGTGATGGGACATCTGGAGTTGCTGTTGCCTGTCACAGGAGCAAGCATTGGTGGGCAGACCCTAGCCCAGAGGAGGCCCCGGGGGCAAGCTACCAGTCTGGGGGCCAGAAGGTGGGGAGGGTGAAGGGCCAACCCTCTTCTGGTTCCTATCATGCATGGATTTCCAGTGCCCACCTCATTCCTGGCGGACACCGTACTATCAGGGGTTCACTGGGCTTTGGGAATGCCTATATGGCTGATTGCAGGGTGGCCTCGGGCAGCCGGTGATGGGGTCAGGTCGGAAACAGGCGAAAGAGAAGCTGCTTTAGAGACGCTGCCACTAGAAAGAAGGAAAGGCAGAGACTGTCAGTCTGGGGCTGCCAGGAGGGAGTGGTGGCCAGGGTGGGTGACACGCTGCTGTCATGTCCCTGCATAGGTCCACCGATCAGGGAGAAGGAAGGGAGGAGAGCTGTGCTCCTGGGGGCTTTCGCGAGAGCTCCCCTGGCTTGCCTCCTCCCCAGGGCTGGGCAGGGGGAGCTTCTACAGAGGTCATTTTCTCCTGAAACCCAGGGCCCAGAGTGGCATCAGCTTGTGAGGGCAGCAGGAAGGGCCCTGAGGGCTGATGGTGCAGGCCCTGGACAGCCTGGAGAGCTCTCCCACCAGGAGGTTACTAACCTCCGCCAACACCTAGGCGACCTCATTTAATCCTTACAGGAACCCTGAGGGGCAAACTGAGGTACAGAGAGGCTCAGCGACTTGCCTGAGGTCACACAGCTAGCAGAATTTTGTGGAAAGCCAGGACTCCACCGTGCCCTCGACGTCTACTTGCCACTTTGTCTTCAGAATTAGATCAATTTGCTACAACTCTGTTTGCCTAGACCTGGGTGGACCCGAGCCGACTTCACGGAGTGATCTAGTTAGTGAATAAAAAAATGGCCTCCAAAGGCTTCTCGCTGTTTTATGGCGGCCACTTTTCCTGATATGCATTGGTCCAGCTCGACTGAATGTCTTTTCTTCTGAATGTGCCCTTAACCCTGGCTCACGTATTTTGCTGGAATTTTCAGCCCCTGCTCCTGCCTGTGTTGCCAAATGGCTGCGGCCAACTGCCCAGACAAGGTTTAAAGTTTCTGTCTGAAGTCTTGGAAAATGTATCGTTTAGAGAATTGATTTTCAGCAAACTGACCAATCAAGGTCATTTTGTGAACTGACTTTCAGAGAATTGATTTCCCATATCCTGATCCAATGACTAAACTTTTAAAAATGAGTCTGCAAGCCCCAATTCAGAAGCACGGGATTTTGCATGTTAAGAAACAGTTATGGGTACACAACATCCTGAGTGTATTAAATGCCACTAAATTGCACACTTTTAAATTGCTAACTTTACGTTATCCTAATTTCATTGAAATTAAAAAAGAAACAACCAACAAAATTCATACCCAGAACATGAATTCATTCCAGATGGAGTAAAGTTTATGGAGGAATCTAATAAAGACTTAATCTACCAAAGAGATAAGAAAAAGGACCACAGCCATTAAAGTAAATACATTACAAAAACTGAATGGCAGATTCAAGACAAGAACAGATAGTTATGAAAATGGCACATCCTGGAAATGAAAAATACAGTCACCGAGACAAAAGGCTCAGAAGATGGGATAGGATGAAGTACACAGTTGAAAAGAGAATTAGTGAAATAGAAGAGAGAAATACGGAATTTGACCAGAATGCAAAACAGAGAGACAGAGATGACAATTTCTTTCTTTTTTTTTTTTAAACAAAGTCTCGCCCTGTTGCCCAGGCTGGAGTGCAGTGGCACCATTTCCGCTCACTGCAACCTCCACCTCCCAGGTTTAAGCAATTCTTGTGCCTCAGTCTCCTGAGTATCTGGGACTACTACAGGTGCGTGCCACCATGCCCAGCTGATTTTCATATTTTCAGTAGAGATGGGGTTTCGCCATGTTGGTCAGATGGTCTCGAACTCTTGGCCTCAAGTGATCCGCCAACCTTGGCCTCCCAAAGTGCTGGGATTACAGGTGTGAGCCACCATCCCCGGCCTGAGATTTAACACCTGTGCATGCATGTGCACACACAGAGACGTGCACACACGGCAACCGAAAGCCCTGGCAGGGCCGGACGTGGTGGCTCACGCCTGTAATCCCAGGACTTCGGGAGGCTCAAGCAGTTGCCAGTCCTTGGGATTTTCTGCTGTGTGCGTGGGGACACCCCTTGAGAGGCTCCTGGTGATGGGGCAGTGACCCTGCTGGTAGGGCAGTGAGAGGCCGTGGCTATGAAGCCCCCCGGCACGGGGGCTCCTGGTTCTGCCCTTCCAAGGGTGTGGTCTGGATACTGCTGGAACCCATTTCCCGCCTGAGAAATAGGGCAGGGGCGTCCATCTTGCAGAGTCACTGTGGAAGGTGGAGTCACCCCGCTGTGCCCCTGAGGGCATCTGCAGTAACTTCAGAGCCACAGCAGGCACCCTGCCCCTCCTGGCCCTGGCCCCACCCCTTTACCTGCCTTCTCCTAACTGTTCCTCTTCTGGAAGTGCCTGGAGCCCAGGAGAGGCCTGTGCTAGGGGCTCCTCCCTGTCTGGGCTGCCATCTGCGCACTCGCTGGCCCCCCTTCAGTGCAGACAACACACTGTGTCCGGCAGCAGGGCCTTGTCCTCATCCTCGCCTGTCTGCCAGTGGCTTTGCTGTCCCTGGTCTGGGCCTGACTCTGACACGCAGCCCATTCTTGCCTTTTGTGAGGGGCAGCTCCGGCCCCTGCGTCTTTGTAAGATGAAGACTCCAGAAATAAATAAATTTACTTATTTATTTATTTATTTTGAGACAGAGTCTCTCTCTGTCACCCAGGCTGGAGTGCAATGGTGCAGTCTTGGCTCACTACAGCCTCCACCTCCTGGATTCAAGCGATTCTCCTGCCTTAGCCTCCTAAGTAGCTGGGATTACAGGCACCCACCACCACGCCCGGCTAATTTTTATATTTTTAGTAGAGATGGGGTTTCACCATGTTGGTCAGGCTGGTCTCGAACTCCTGACCTTGGATCCACCTGCCTTGGCCTCCCAAAGTGCTGGGATTACAGACGTGAGCCACCGTGCCTGGCCAGACTCCAGAAATTAGGCCTGCAGGAGATTCTGGGCTGTGTTGAGGCCTGGGCTGCTGGGCCTGAGCTAGGAACCACGCCACCACCCAGTGGCCTCGCTCTGGCCCCGGCAGGGACCCACGAGCAGGCCCTGCTGCCCCCACCATGCTCCCCTGGAAGTCAGACCCACCTCCCCTACCCAGCAAGGGCTGTGGCCAGGCATGAAGCCTGGCTCCCCTGGTCCCCGTGGAGACCACGGGGACCTGGGTGGACTCCTGGGCCTCAGGGGTCCCCATCCAAACAGTGGGAGGGTTGGGCTGGAGCTCACCCAGAATGTTTGGCAGTGCCTGCAGCGGGGGAGGGTCTTTATGTCATCGCTCCTGAGGGTCCTTTGGAGCCTGTTCCTGCTGGTGCGTCGGCAGCTCGGAGCCACACGCCTCTCCCGAGGGTACCCTGGCTGCCCATCTGCCCATGTCCCTCCCTCCCTCGGTCACCCTAACAGTTGCACCCGCAGCACAAGGTCCCCTGAAAACGCACAGCGAGGCCGGAGCTGCTGCAGGCAGGGCACGGCCCTGCGGGTGTTTCATCTCGTTGTGAGAGCTTTCCAGTTGGCACAGGTAGTGTCTGCTTTCACCCATCCTTCCAGAAACAAGGGGCCTTAGGCCACGGGAAGAGCGCGTCCTGCACTTCCATGCCTGTGTGGGAGTGGCCTGTCCACTGGAGACAGCCTGTGCCCCGCTAGCAAGACCACGCTCATTTTGTGAGAGCTCCCGCCATCCTGTGGCTCTTGGGCCTGGAACTCGCATTCCTGCTCCATTCTGAGGGCCAAGTGATGTGGCTAGATGCAGAGAGATGGGGGCCTGCGGCGGCCGACACCCAAAGCATCCTTGATGGCTTTTTTTTTTTTGAGACAGGCATGGCAAGGTCTCACTCCCGCCCCCTGGATCTGCCTGTGAACACAGGGTGCCCCTGGGGGTGTCCAGAGTGAGAACAAATTCCGTTTGGGATAGAGTCTTACTCTGTTGCCCAGGCTGACCTTCAGTGGTGCGATCATGGCTCACTGCAACCTTGAACTCCAGGGTTCAAGTGATCCTCCCACCTCAGCCTCCTGAGGAGCTGGGACCACAGCGACACACCACCACGCCTGCCTAATTTTTTTTTTTTTTTCAGAGACGGGAACTTGCTGTGTTGCCCAGGCTGGACTCAAACTCCTGGCCTTAAGTGATCCCACTCAGCCTTCCAAAGCTGGGTAGCTTTTGATTGCAGATTCTAGCTAGGTTGCAGGACGTGAGGAAGTGGGGGTGCAGAAATCACAGCAACACCCTCCCCCAAGGGTGCTTTCCGTGGCCGTGTACACAGCCCGCCTGGCCGGCTCTGAGAGCAGGGACCCTTCTCTGGATGCTCCAGGCCATCGCTGTGCAGGAACCCGGTGTGTCGTAAGTGAAGGACAGTCGTCTTTACCTTGGGGGAGACAGTTGTGGGTGCCTCCCTGCAGGCTGTGGCATCTGTAATTCCCCAAATGTAGGTGCTACGTTGAACAGCCCCTTAGACTTCACCGCAGCACCGTGTGGCCACCGTGCACAGCCTTCCCAGGCCAGCTGCAGAATTCCATGGAAAAGGTTTTGTGAATGATTACAACTCAACGGTCTAGGCCCTCAACCTTCTCTTTTTAGAACAGTGCCCCCCATTGTGGAAATCCTCGGTTCAGCCACTGGGAACTCCCCAGTTTTGAGGGCAGGTGTTGGCAGTTTCATTTGGTCCAACACCAATTCCACGTTCCTGTGCCCCCTTCAACAGTCTGCGCAGCCTCCCAGTGGCGCAGCCTCCCCGTGACTCAGCCTCCTGGTGACACGGCCTTGCTAGCCGCCATCCTGTACCGGGCCCAGGTGACACCGTGGGACGTCTGTTATTTAGGTGCCCCTGGCCCCTGCCACGGGGTTTCCCACTTTGGGGGCCTTGCATCTGTGTGGCTTCTTCCTTGCTCTCAGTGGTCACCTGGTTGTCGGTGGCCCGCGTCCATCAGCCCATCATCATTCCGACTTGCTGTTTTGATCGTCGGCCGGAAAGCCAGACAGCTGGCCTTGCTGGACCATGTCTGCAATGGGAATTTTGAGGCCGAGAGGGAGGGCTTCAGGGGCCCCTGGGAGTGCAACACGTAAATGGGGGCTTGCACACGGGGTCGGGTGGGGGGCTCTTGCTCCGATGTTCCGGGATCTTTTTTGCCCCTTGTAGACCCACAGGTGTGTGTGCAGGAGCCCTGAGGAGGCCAGAGGAGGCCAGAGAAGGGTGAGCAGAGGTCCGAGGGCACTGCGGTGAGGCCAGGCTGCAGATGGAGCTGGGGCTCGAGCTCAGGAGCTGGTCTTCCCTGCTGGGGCCGCGACGCCTGCCGCTTTCCTGCCGGCTCTCTGGGTCAAGGCCTGGAAAGGCTTTCTTCTCGGGCTTCTCATCAGCTTATTGGCCCATTTAGGTAATGGCACTTCCTGTCCATTAACCTCAGCCACACTGAGATCAGCTCTCCACACTCACTTGGCAGGAGGCTTGCAGGAGCTTTCCTATTTGGAGAGTAAAAAGAGCATGGCCTCTGCAGCAGCCAGGAAGTGGAAAGCCCTGGCTTCCTGGTTCCAGAGAACAAACAGGGGATGCGGCTCCCAGATGCAGCCAAAAGTGCTCTGGGGACGGGGACAGTCGGCCGGGTCCTGTCGCAAGCGGCTGCCCTGTTGCACTGATGTCCTGGCCCCTGAGAACACATCAGTAGGGCCTGGCCGGACCCTGGGCCGATGCCACTCTTAGGGGTGAGATGGGGAGCCTGGCCCAGGCTGAGACCCCCACCCTCCACCCAAAACGTGTCCGGGCCTCCAGGCCGTGCAGAGCACACTGGAGGCTCAAGACGGCACCTCTTCTGTGGGACTGGGCCACAGCCTGTCTGATGCCTCACTTCTCTGACTCTTGGAGGCATGGTGCTGGCCTGTCTGTGAGCCCCAGACCCCCTCGTAGAGCTCGCTCCAGGGCCAGGCCCAGCCCCCTTACCGCCTCTCAGCCAGGCTCAGCTAGTGGCCGGCTCTGCCATGGGGAAGGCCCGGTGTCTCTCTCTCTCTGCCTCTCCCAGGCTGCTGCAGCATGGCCCCAAGCCTGGGCGCCAGTAACAGCCTCGTCCCTCCAGCCTGTACAATGGCTCAGCGCTACCTGGGGACTCCCTCCAGCCAGGCCAGACATGCTGGGCAGTCAGGGTCCCTGGGAGCCCCTTGACAGCGACTGACGGCAGGTGGGGGATAAGTAGCCAAGTGTCTCCTGCCGGCGGGGGCAACTCTGCAGGTGTCTCTGCAGCCTCCCCAGTACCCCATGGGTGCCTGCCCCCTGAGTCCCCCAGGGGGCACCTGCCCCTTTGTCCTGACCCCTGCTCCTTCCCTCTCTTCTCCTGGGGTGGCCAGGGGTCACATGCCATGTAACCCTGAATCCTGTCCCAGCCTCTGCCCCTGAGGAACCCGCCCAGCAAGCCATCCACCCTCACTAAAGTCCAGGCCGTCTTCCATGGTCCCCTCACCACCTTGTTCTTTCTGGCCCCAGAGGCCATCACCATCCAGGGCACAAGGGGGCCTGCCCCTTGGCCAGGTGGCTGCCTGTCCTCTGACCCTGGGTTGTCGACAGGGGGAGGGGAGAGCTGGAAACCGGGGTCAGGAGGATGCCAGCAGGTCCGTCACTCCCTGCCTGGATCCGGCCAAGTGCGGGGGACCTTGGCCAGCATCCTAGAGAGCTGGCGCACCTCCTGGGCCTGACGCGGGCTTCCTGGATTGCATAAAGGCTCCTTCTCCTTACATAGCCAGGGCAAAGGTGCATGACAACTCTGAGCAAGTCAAAACAACCGTCAGCAGCGGGAAACCTCGATGAACAAACACCGGGAGAGTGGTGAGTAGCTGCCAGGAAAGCCCCAGCCTCCGGCAGGAAAGGGACTCTGGGCGGGGCGGCCCCAGAGAGAAAGTGGTTAGATGTACGGACAGAGGGATGACAGGGCTGGCCAGGCAGTGCTGCCTGCAGGCTGTGCAGTTGGCCTGGGGGTCTGGAGCCTCCGGGACCCACAGATGCGCCCGCACCCTCATCCCTGGCTTCTTTCGGCCCCACAGCGGGGCAGCAGCACTGCTGTCCTAGCCACGCCAGGCGCCAGTGTGGCCTGGTAAAGGCCTCGTGCATTCTGTCCTGCTGGTGGGGGAGGCTGGCCTCTCATGCGCTTGTCCTTAGAGGGCAGCATGAAGATGCCGCGCCCCACCGGGGAGACGAGGGGAGTGGACCCCTCATGAGATCCAGGCCGCATGAGGCAGGGGCTGCCATGACAGGATACTGCATGCGGGGGGCCTCATGCAGCAGAAGTGGACTCTCTGAGTCCTGGGGCCAGACTTCAAAATCAAGGTGTCGGCAGGGCCACCTCCTGCTGAAGGCTCCAGGAGAAAACCCTTCCTGCCGCTCCTAGCTTCCGGTGGCCCAGGCAGTCCTTGGCTTGTGTCCGCATCGCTCCAGTTCTCTGCCTCCGTCTCACGTGACTGTGTCTCTGCACCTTTCCCCCTTCTCAGAACGTGTCCTTGGATCTCAAGTCCACCCTCATCCAGGAGGCTTTCATCTCAAAATCCTTAACTTAATCCCATCTATCTGCAAAGACCCCTTTTCTAAATCAGGTCCCATTCTCCAGTTCCTCGGGTTAGGACCTGGACAAATCTTTTGGGGGTGTCGTTCATCATCCAACTGCACTTGGCATGGGAAGGCCCCCCTCCTGCCCCCTGGATCTGCCTGTGAGCACAGGGGTCCCCTGGGGGTGTCCAGAGTGAGAACAAATTCCGTCTGGGACAGAGCTGGCAGAGGCCCCGGACGCTGGCCTCCCGAGCGGGGTTGTGATGTTGGACCCTGTTCTCAACACCAGGCCCACGCCACCAATTCGTGCTTCTGTCTGGGCCAGGCTTCCCCGTCCCCCTGTCCCAGTCTCAGGAGGGTGTCTGCAGGTTTGTCTCCCTGGGGGACGGAGCCACGTTTGGGTTCCACTTCATTCTCCAACTGCTCTGGTGCTGGACAGAAGCTGAGCCTGCCCGCCTCCATATGTGGGGTTGGAGAGCCTGGGGTACCCTGGCCTCAGAGGCAGTGATGATGGGGGAGGGAGAGAGATGGGAGAGGGGCCTGGGATGCCATTGGAATCTCTCAGGGCTTCATCTGAGCTGTCTCTGCCCCCTTCTAGCATTCCCAGGGGAGTTCCAGGAGGCCCATGGCCCCTCCTGTACAGCCCTCCACCGCCCAGAGCCTTCCAGCGCCGTGTCTTCCCCTTGGAGCATCTGGAGGCCCCAGACAGCACCCGCCTGACGTTCAGCAGAGGGGGAGACCGAGGCCTGCAGCAGAGTGTTTTGTCAGATGCTGCTCCCTGACCGGGAGTGAGAGGGAACCCACCTAGAGGTGCCAGATGGGGTGCCAGGGCAGCGTGGCCTGCAGGCCCCTCAGCTCCTCACAGCCCCTGCCCCCAGCCTTCCTGGGCCCAGAGATCCCCTTGTTTACCCTAGTCCAGGGACAGAGGCTCAGATGTCATGCTTGACCCCACAGGTACAGGGTTAGGGGTGAAGGTGGCTGTCTCTTCATGTCTTCACCATGGCTTCTCTGCCTTCCTCCTGCTCCTGGTGGCTTATGTCCTGCCGCTCTTGATACGCGACTGTGGTCTGTCCTGGGATGGTTATGATGCATATGTGCTATTGTTGTGAACTGTAACATTGAGGTCTGGCCTTACGGTTGGTTTTGATTGTCCCTTCTGCTCCCTTTTCTTATTTTAATATTTTACCATTTTCCATTTTAATGTATCTGTTGTCTTTTTTGGCTAAATCTCTTTTCAGTTTTATTTTACTGTATATCTTTTCTAAGTGATTGCTTAGAGATTACAATATACTAAACCTAGCCTTTCACAGTTTCTGCAGATCCTGCTTTGTGACTTCGAGTGAAGTGTGGAAGCGCTGGAAGCACTTAGACCCTGCCTGTGAGTTGTCATGTATCATGTCTGCAAACATTAAAAATCTCACCAGATGATGGGGTGTGTGTGTGTGTGTGTGTGTGTGTCTGTGTGTGTGTGTGTATGTGTCTGTGTGTGTATTTTTTTTTAGACAGAGTCTTGCTCTGTCACCCAGGCTGGAGTGCAATGGCACACTCTCGGCTCACTGCAACCTCTGCCTCCCGGGTTCAAGCGATTCTCCTGCCTCAGCCTCCTGAGTAGCTGGGATTACAGGCACGCGTCACGACGCCCAGCTAATTTTTGTAATTTTAGTAGAGAGGGGGTCTCACCATGTTGGCCAGGCTGGTCTCGAACTCCTGAGCTCAAGTGATCTGCCCGCCTCAGCCTCCCAAAGTGCTGGGATTACAGGCATGAGCCACCACACCTGGCCAAGATGATGGTATATTTTTTGCTTTCAATAGTCATACATATTTTAAAGGACTTAAAAGAAAAAATAGTTTAAAAACTATTTACCCAGGTATCCGCTATTTCTGTTTCTCTTTCTTCATTCTAGAAGTGCTGTGTTTCCCCCTGGGGTCTTTTCCCTTGCTGGTGACAATTCTCTTCTAGTTCCTTTACTTGAGAATGTCTTTATTTTGCTTCTATTCCTGAAGGCTGTCTCCACTGGATGTAGGATTCTGTGGTGACTTCTTCTCCTTTCATTCTTCGTGCAGCACACCAGCATGGCGCATGTGTACATACGTAGCAAACCTGCATGTTCTGCACAAGTACCCTAGAACTTAAAGTATAATTTAAAAAAAAAAAGAAAAAAAAAGGTATTGTTCCATCGTCTTCTGGCCTCCCTGTTTTGTTTAAGCAGTTTTTTTTGTTTGTTTGTTTTAAAAATTTCTATGCTAGTGGGGTGCAGTGGCTTATGCCTGTAATCCCAGAACTTTGGGAGGCTGAGGCGGGTGGATCACTTGAGGTCAGGAGTTTGAGACCAGCCTGGCCGACATGGTGAGAACCCATCTCTACTAAAAATACAACAATTAGCCAGGTGTGGTGGCTCACACCTATAATCCCAGCTATTCCGAAGGCTGAGCCAGGAGAATCGCTTGAACCTGGGATGCAGAGGTTGCGGTGAGCTGAGATGACGCCACTACACTCCAGCCTAGGCGACAGAGCAAGACCCTATCTCAAAAAACAAAACAAAATAAAAGTTCTCTGCTTATTTTGCACCTAATTTCTGTTTAGTTAGTAGAGTTTTAAGAAGTAGATTTAGGTTTGCAGAAAAACTGAGCAGGAAGTACAGAGAATTCCCGCACCCGCCTCCCCCACACTGTCCACAGCTTCCTTCCCTGTTATGAGCACAGCCATGCCATGGGACATGGGTCACAGCTGATGAGCCAGTATCCATACATTGTTACTACCTACGTCCATCTTTTACAACAGGGATCACTCTGTGTGTTGTACATTCTGGGCTTGGGGCAAATATATAATGACATGTATAATGACATCATTATAACATCATACGGAATAGTTTCACTGCCCTAAAAATCCTCCACACTCTGCCAATTCATCCCTCCCTCCTCCCAACCCCTGGCAGCCACTGACCTTTTTCCCGTCTCCATGGTTTTGCCTGTTCCCGAGAGTTGTATAGCTGGAGTTGTATAGTTGTGTGGCCTTTCCCAGGCTGGCTGTTTTCACTTAGCTGCATGCGTTCAAGCCTCCACAGTGTATTTGCTGGCCTCTGTGGTTTTGATGAGAAATCCTGGGTCATTTGAATTCCTGCTCCCTCTGTGTGTGTAAGCTATCATTTTTCTCTGGCTACATTCAAGATTTTTCTCTTTGTTTTTATGTTTTAGCAGTTTTTAATGTGTGTAGGCATGGTTTTATTTGAGTCTAGTCTGTTTGGGATTTGCTGAGCTCATTAAAACTGTAAATTGATATGTTCCCCCAAATTTGGGAAGTTTTCTGCTTTTATTTCTTCAAATATTTTTCTGCACCATTTTCTTCTCTCCTCTGGGCCTCTAAGGACGTGAATGTTAGACCTTTTGATATCATTCCACAGGTCCCTGGACTCTGCTCATTTTTTTCAGTCTTCTTTTTCTTTTCTTTTTTTTTTTTTTGAGATGGAGTCTTGCTTTGCCACCTAGGCTGGAGTGCAATGGCGTGATCTCAGCTCACTGCAACCTTCGCCTCCCAGGTTCAAGTGATTCTCCCACCTCAGCCTCCCGAGTAGCTGGGATTAAGGCACCCGCCATCATGCCCAGCTAATTTTTGTATTTTTAGTAGAGACAGGGTTTCACCATGTTGGCCAGGCTGGTCTCGAACTCATGACCTCCGGTGATCCACCCACCTCGGCCTCCCAAAGTGCTGGGATTACAGGCATGAGCCACCGTGCCCGGCCTTCAGTCTTACTTTTCTTTCTATTGTCTAGATTGGAAATTTTCTACTGATCCATGTATAAGTTCACAGATTCTTTCCTCTGTCACTGACATTCTGCTATTAGGTCTGTCCATTAAAAAAAAACAATTTCTCAGGTATCATATCTTTGAGTTCTGAAATTTCTATTTAGTTCTTTTTTGTAGTTTCCATTTACCTACTGAGAATTTCTGTCCTTCCATCTGCTTCACTCGTGGTTTCTTTTACCATGTGGAGCACAGTTGTGACAGGTGCTGTCCAGTCTTGACCTAATTCCAGCACCTAGAGCATCTGTTGACTCTCTCTCTCTTGAGAATTTTGTGGCTCTTTGTATGTCAAGTAATTTTTTTTTTTTTCCGAGACGGAGTCTTGCTCTGTCGCCCAGGCTGGAGGGCAGTGGCAGGATCTCAGCTCACTGCAACCTCCGCCTCCCAGGTTCAAGCGATTCTCCTGCCTCAACCTCCCGAGTAGCTGGGATTACAGGCACTCGCCACCACACCTGGCTAATTTTTGTATTTTTAGTAGAGACAGGGTTTCACCATGTTGGCCAGGCTGGTCTTGAACTCCTGACCTCATCATCTGCCTGCCTTGGCCTCCCAAAGTGCTGGGATTACAGGCGTGAGCCACCACGCTCGGCCCGTCAAGTAATTTTGAATTGTATTGTGGACATCTTGAATACTATGTAGTGTAGATTCTTGTTAAAATCTGCTGGAAAATGTTGATTTCTGTTCATTGTTTTGGCGGCAGTCAATTCAGTCAGAGCCAGATCTCAAGTTTTGTCTTCTCTCCTGGGGGCTGTGGTCTCCATCTCATTGTGCTCTCAAGGCTTTTCCTGGGTGGCTGTGGGTGCGTCCCGAAGCCAGTGTTGTCTCTGTAGGGTGCTCTCTGCCCCTCCCCAAGTACCATGAAGTGAGAGAGCAGCGAGCGGGCCAGGCGCCACTCCTGGAGGACAGCCACGATGCTCACCTGGACCTGGGCCCCACACACCTCTCATGGTACAAAGCTGGGGGCCTGCAGGCTTTCTGCTGCCCGCCTCTCCCTGGGGGTTCCAGCCCATACCCCAGGATGGTTGTAGGGTATGGCCGAGTCCATCATTTGCTCCTGGTATTGGGGGGAAGTGCCATGGTGGCCTCTGGCAGCCATCCTTGTGGCCTGCCTGCCCTTGCCACCCTTGATGTGTATATGTTTCAATATAGTTGCATAGTGGTTAAATATTCACTTAGCCACCTTCTGCTCCTGCCTTGACTTCCCACACAGGAAGATGGCCTGTACCCCAGGAAGATGGCCTGTACTAGTCAGGGTTCTCCAGCGAAGCAGAGCCTATAGGAGATGCAGACACAGAGATGGATATAGATACCTAAGAGAAGAGGCATTATTACAGGAATTGGCGCATGCAGTTACAGAGGCTGAGAAATTCCATGAGCTGCCATCTGCAAGTGGGAGAACCAAGAAAGCCTGGGGTGTAATTCCATCCATGGCGCAGGCCTGAGAGCTGAGGCCAGTACCTGAGCTCAGCAGGAGATGGTGTCTCAGCTCTGAGAGCCAGCTCTCCCTTCCTCTGCCTGGGGTGTAATTCCATCCACGGCAGCAGGCCTGAGAGCTGAGCGCTGCTGTCTGATCCCAGGAGGAGATGAAGTCTCAGCTCTCAGAGCCAGCTCTCCCTTCCTCTGCCTTTTTTGTTCTAGTCAGGCCCTCACTGGGTTAAATGATTCCACCCACACCGGGAGGGGCGTCTGGCTTCCTGAGGCCAGTTCAAACGCTGATCTCACCCGGAAGCACCCTCACAGATCCCCCAGAAGTAATATCTCCCCAGCTGTCATGCATCCCAGCCCCAGCCAGGAGGAGACAGAGCTAACCATCACAGTGGACCATGACGAAGTGGCTCTGCTGCTGCTTCACAGGTGCCGCAGACCCCTGGGAGGCACCAACACCCCGGATCGAGAAGCCCGATGGGAAAGAATGTCTGGGAAGGACGTCATGCCCGAGGCTTGCGTGACAGTTTCCACTCACAGTGCGCTCACTCTGAACCTCTGTGCACACGATGGGCCTGCATCTCTTCCCACTATCTGCTAGGAAACACGAGGGTGAGTGATGAGTTTTTAGGGTGGAGCTGGTCGGCAGTGGGGCCCCGACTCCCAGTCCAGGGCTGCTTCTGTTGCACCAGTGTCCCCCAGTGACCCCTGCACTTGTTTGGGTGCTGGACCCCTTTGAGAATCTGATGCACGACAGGGACCATTTCCCCTGGAAAACACACGTCCCCACCCTTCTTGTATGCAGAATCATGGGATTTGCCGCAGTTTGCACCCAGGCCTGTGCGGATGCCCCCCGACTGCCCGAGATGCTGCACCTGCCACTGCTGGGGGTGTACCTGCCTATGCCCACTCACAGGGGCACCTCCAGGGTAGCTGCCTGGTGCAGGCATTGGCTCTAAGCAGAGCAGCACTATGGGCCCATCTGGGGCTGGCTCTTGCCTGGGCCTGTGAGCACCATCACAGCCAGCCGATCTGGGAGTATCCAGGGTGTTCTTGTCATTGCGGACACTGAATAGCCATTGGTGGGTGGCGATGGGGGCTTGGAAGCCGAGCATCAGTGGCAATGAGAAGCAGGCCCTGTGGTTTAATTCCGAAGCACATGAACCCACAGAGCCGCCAACAGTCGTTATTCGGCAGGAGGGGGTACAGAGACAGCAGCCTGCGGAGCGTTCTAGGCAGGACAGGGCAGCAAACCTGACATGCGGAGCTGGGGGCAGGGGTAATGGGGCCAGGGGGTAATGGCAGGTGAGGCCATGGCCTAGAGGGTTGCCATGCTTGGTGCAGGGGAGGAGAGGCCCAGGTGTGGCTGCAGTGGCAGCAGGAGTCAGTGTGGCTGTGCCCAGTGGGATGTTGTCAGAGAATGGACCTGGCTGCTGGGAAAGGTGATTGTGTTTGTCTGAGCCACACTGGACTCTTCTCTGACCAGCAAGCACATTCTGGAGATGCGGGGCAGAGACGAGGCCTCCGTGAGAACCTTTGAGGTGTGAGGGCCTTGATCTGGGGTGCAGCCTCCAGCTTTCTGCTTACAGAGCAGGACCTGCAGGAGCTCGCTGACTGCCTGCACAGTGGAAGGAAGACCTGTTTCTTTTACTTTCCTTGAGGAGAAAAAATTAAAGTTCTGAGCAAACGCATGGCAAGGGAGCTCTTGCTTTCCTCTCTTGGAGTTCTAGGCGGCTGGCGCTAGTGGCACGTGGAACTGGTCACGCACACTGGGTCTCGAGGCCGTCTCCTCTTCTGTAAGTTGAAAGGTTGGTGAGAACAGAGGTGTGGTGTGCTCTGACAGTGGCTGGTTGCCTTGTTAGTGCCTGTGCTGCCGGCCTGCCACGCCTCCAGCTCTTTTAGAGGAATGGCCTACCTTTCAAAGAGGAAGTGCCACAGACCAGTCTAGTTCCCTGGAGCCACATTCCCACATGGCGAAGGTGGGAAGCCACTGCGTTATGACTCTGTGCGTTCACCACCATCTCCACCCCGCGTCATCCCTCGTGGCGTACGTCCCTGCCTGGCCTCCCCAGGCACTGGAGCTGGCACTTCTTGTCTAGGTATCTCAGGCCTGGCGAAGCTCCTCGGCTCCGGCCTGAGCGACGACCTGCAAGCACAGACTGGGCGCTGAGCCCCTGCCTGAGCTGAGTCAGGGCCGGAGAGCCGGCCGAGTGGCATGCTCCCGAGAGCACAGCTGGCTGTGCAGTCAGGGCCTTGGTGGACACGCTGTCCACCTGGCATGGACATGGGGACATGAGGGGCAATGCGGGCACATGCAAGAGCATTCCCAGAACAAATGCATGGTCGTCCCCCAACCCCCTCCCTCGGAGTCCAGCTGCTGCCAAATGTCCCTTAAAACCCTGGGTGGGATGCCAGCAAGAGCCCCGGGAAGCTTGATGATGAGACTCCCAGCCTCGCCTCCCGGCAGTCTCCCCCGCCGTGGCAGGCCTGGGCTGGCCCTGGCATCTGTCCAGGCCCCTCGGTGACTCTAACCTTGGCCAGGTTTGGGGACCACAGGGGACTCTGGGGCCCTCTTTGCTTGGTGACTTGGAGTTCTGGCCTGGCACCCCCAAGACAGCAAAGGGCCTGGCCCTTCCGGTGTCATTGCTCTCCTGGGTCCCAAGCTTGCGTGTCCCCGCGGGCCAGGGCAGGGCTGCATGCCACAGAAGTCACCGTTTCATAGAAGGGAAGACTAGGAAGTCAGCTGCACCCAGGTCAAGTGGGTCTGTGCGAGTGGACGTCCCTCCTCTTGCTGTCTGCGTGGGTCACATTGACCAGAGTTTGTTAAGCCCGGGCCAGAGGAGGCTCACTCCCTAGGCTGGGAATGAGTTTGGTGTGGCTTCACACACACCGCACTCACACACACACCCTCTACTCCACACGGTGATAAGTGAGTGGCTGGAGCAAGCCGCAAGGAGCTTTTGAGCGCACACCAGAGCTGCTTCTGCTACCTCCAGGCCTCTGATGGCTGCGGCTGCAGACACAGCCAGCCTCGCAGCATGTAAGAGTGGGCAAGGATGACACACGGGCACAGAGAGACCAGGCTGGGCTTCAGGAAGCAGGTCTGCGTGGGATGGAAGTGCTTAGAAAGTCATTTCTGGAAGGCCGACACCAGTCGGCACTCCCTGAGCGAAAGGACTTGGGAACACGTGGATGCACTTCTTGTATCTCCAAGGAAATGCTCCCTGAGGATTTGCGACGTGGAAATGCAACGGGCTGTGGAGTGCTGCGCACCCCGCACCTCGAGCAGTGGTTTAGCTCAGCTCGGGGTTTGTGGCTTCAGGGGGTCATAGTCCACAGGAGTGCCAGGGGGTTGGGCGGGTGGGACAGAGGAGGCGAGAAGTGGTTGCGGACACTCTGCATGAGCAGGACACGCACACACCACACACACACATACCCCACACACATATACACACCACACACCCCATATACACACAAGTACACACACGAACATACCACACACCCCATATACACACAAGTACACACATGAACACACCACACACACACACAATACGGCTCTGCAAGGAAACGTGTGAGGGGTGTGGTGTGTGTGCACTGTGTGTGAGGTGTGTGGTGTGTGTGAAATGTATGTGTGAGGTATACAGTATGTGTGTGAGGTAGTGTGCGATGTGTGTGTAGTGTATGTGGTTGTGTGAGGTATGTGGGGTGTGAGGAATGTATTGTGTATGTGTGATATATACTGATTGTGTGTAAGGGATGTGGAGTGTGTGGCATGTGTGTAAGGTAGGTGTGTGTTGTGTATATGTGAGCTGTATAGTGTCGGGGGGGTGTGAGGTATGTGGTGTATGTTATGTTTGAGATCTAGTGTGTGTGTATGGTGTGTGTGGGAGGTATGTGGGGTGTGTGGTGTGTGGTGTGTATGAGGTATGTAGTGTGAGGTGTGTGATGTGTAG